>NC_000005.10:178469345-178619791 GCF_000001405.40 Homo sapiens
GGCTCCTCTCCCGTCCATCCCTCCCTGGTCCCAGCCTGGCCTGGGAGATGCACATCCTTCCTCTGAGATACTGTTGTTCTAAGCCCCACCACATTCTACGAAGCTCCATCACACACACATGCTGAAGGCTGAAACTCCAATTCTGCAGGTGCATCAGTTCCAAGAGTAGATGTTCGATGGTGAGGGGCCGATGGGCAGTCTGTAGCTGGGGCCCCGGGGAAAGACCACAGCTGAGCACTCTCGGGGGAGCTGGGCTCCCCCGGGCAGCTGGCAGCTGGGACCTGCCTTCATGTCCAACCACATTTCTGATGGAGCCCAGGGGACTTCCGCCAGTACCTCCCCTCTTCAGAGAGCCCCCGTCCTGTCTGCAGAGCCATCAAGAGGACCCTCGCCGAGGGAAGCTGCCTGCCGCTGGTGATAACCAGAATCGGTCGTGGGGAGGAGGTGGCCATTCCCCCTGAAAGTCCTAATGGTCTCGCAGGGTCGGGCCACGGAACCGTCTCCAACCACTCATCCCCTGTGCAGAGGCCAGAAGGGAGCTTTCGTCATGCTAACTGGGTTTGATTTTTATCTTCCCAGGCACCTCCTCTCACTGGTCTTTCTCATGGCAATCATCACAGTTCATTTAAAAGTATTTCCACCCCATTTGTCTACCGGTGCAAGCAGTCACTCTAGCCAGCTAAATCAGTCCCTTTAAAACTTTATCTTGCTAATTCCAAAGTACTCCATCATCTCCATATCCAGACACTGAGAGGCTCAGCCTGCAGACATCTGCCTAACAGAGCAGCTGGCGGGCTAAACACATAAATTAATGCAAAGTCCTGGTTGGTCAACACCTGGTGCAGCTCTTCCTCCAGGCACTTCTCAGGGACGAAGCTTGCTTTGAGCTGGCCATCCAGCGTCTGTCCCTCCTGGTCCGCTACCGTGAGCTCTTGACTCCACCTGGCTCCACGCCCCCTGCCCCATGTCTTCCCTTAGCCAGGAGCCAGTGTCCTTGGGCAAGCACAGTGCCCATAAGCCGAGCAGACCCCTGGAAACCCACCGCCAATTAGAACTGTTCCTCACTGGAAAGACTGCCTAGACAAACCACCTAAAACCCAGGACGTGAGGACTCCCAGCTCCCCACCCAGACCCCAGCCAGAAGCCACGGCAAGCCGTCAGTGTCGAGCAGAGGGCCCCTGCAGGAAGACTGGGAAGGTCTAAATCTAAGCTCATTAACAGGCCAGAGGGTGAGAGAGAACACAGAGGTGCAAGACAGGGAGGGGATGGAAGCCAGCACGTGGGTCAAAGACGAGGCCATGGGGGAAACACCCGCTCATACGACACAAGCATCCTGCCTGCTGGGCTGGAAATCCCGAAATTTCCCCAGTATTCCTGGAAGCATCAAGGCTCCCACAGAATACAGTGGCACTTCCCATAAGACACTGGACCCAGATACCTCCTGTCTCAAGGAGCCCACCGCCTCCAGGGCCCCACTGAGCGGCCGTTCATGCTGAGAGCTGCGCTGGAGAAGCCTGTGTGAAGGCTGCTGCGGTCACCTGGGAACCCTCAGGAGCCCCAGAGTGTGCACTTTTGTCCATTCCTAAATATTCCTTCCATAGACTTACTGTGAAGATCCAACCAGACCCTCTGAGCTTTGCTAACTTTCAGCTCTGTGCAGTGCACGAAGTGGTTCTGAAAAAGCATCTGCTCCAGTGCCTGGCTGCCTTGGGATCACCTGGGGATTCCTCGTGTATTGGTCAGGTCCCTGCAGGAAACAGAGGGCACCCCAATGGCTAATTTGCAGAGCAGTTAAGAGAGAGTTACTCAGGAAGCTGTGCACAAGGGACAGTGCAGTTCCCAGAGGTTGGAACAGTGGGTGCATTTATCACCCCTGAGTAATCATGCGTTTTATGTTTTCTTTCTTTTTTTTTGAGACAGAGTCTCGCTCTTGTCACCCAGGCTGGAGTGCAGTGGTGCGATCTCAGCTCACTGAAAGCTCAGCCTCCTGGGTTCAAGTGATTCTCCTGCCTCAGCCTCCTGAGTAGCTGGGATTACAGGCACCCACCACACCTGGCTAATTTTTGTATTTTTAGTAGAGATGGGGTTTCGCCATGTTGGCCAGGTTGGTCTTGAACTCCTGACCTCAGGTGATCTACCCGCCTCGGCCTCCCAAAGTGCTCGGATTACGGGTGTGAGCCACTGTGCCTTGGCCTGCTTTTTATATTTTCTGATGCTGTGAAACATCTCTGGGCCTTGCTGGCCAGGGAGAGACTCCCTTCCTGGGGCTAGCTAACTCCTAGAGATAGCAAGCACCTTGCCTTTGGACCTGCCTCTCCCTATCAAACCAACCAAGCCAAAGCTGTGCCCCAACCACCCGCTTTATGTAACTCTCACACCCCTGCCCTCATCACCCATGGGCCAGGTATGTGACAGCTAGAGACCAGCCCTGTAGCCCAGAGCCCACTGGAATTATTTGAACTGGCCAATCCGAACCCTGCTCAGCTTGCCTCGCCCCTCCCTTCCCACAGTCCATGCCCCAGCTCCTTCCACCCCCTGACTGACTCCGGTGCTTCCCCATATGGTCCTGTTGTGCTGTCGAATCGTCAGTAAGAAACTCTTCTTTCAAGCAGTTGTCTCCATGGTTGTCATCTTAATCCATGGCTGATTAAAATCCTGGGTGCAGGCCGGGCCTGGTGGCTCACACCTCTAATCCCGGTGCTGTGGGAGCTCAAGGAGGGAGGATGGCTTGACCTGGGGAGGTCGAGGCTGCAGTGAGCTATGATCATGCCAGGGCAACAGCGTGAGACCCTGTCTTAAATAAAAATCCTGGGTATTGTTTAAAACAACCCCAAGGACTGCAGGCGCTGAAGAGAGGAAGCTGCATGGAAAAGCTGTGGGAAAGGGGCTTGAAGGAACATCCCTTTGCTGATCCATCCTGACTCTCAGTCGAATCAACTGAGACCCAATGGGGAGCCACAGTCTATCCCAATGTGCACTTTTGTCCCAATGGGGAGTCAGCCTCCTGGGGCCCAGAGCAGGTGGATAAGGGTGTGGGGCGCACCTGGAGGAGCAAGTGAGGTGCCAGCATGCTTTGGTTCTACTCCAAGAAAGTCTGATTCCGGAGTTCTTGGATGGGGCCCAGTAATTTTTCTTAAATGCTTCCCAGCTATTTCTGATGCACAGTCAGATATGGCTTATACATTATGAAAGGTAAGGCACTGTCAATATTAATAATATTAGCAACGGCTGCAGCAGCATCCATGGGTGCCAGGTGCTTATAATGCATCAGTCCTAATTTCCACCCCTTAAAGGTAAGTGTTAGTATTCCCATTTTGTAGATGGGAAATGTGAGGCTCTGGCTGCTTAAGTGACTTGCCCAGCATCGCACAGCTTGTCAGTGGAAGAGCTGGGATTTTTATCCAAAAGCCAGTGAACAGTCAGCCCTCCATATCCATGGATTCCACATCCACGGTCTCAACCAACCGCAGATTGAAAATATTTTTAAAAAATACACAGGCAGGACACAGTGGCTCATGTCTGTAATCCCAACACTTTGGGAGGCTGAGGCAGAAGGGTTGCTTGAGCCTGGGAGTTCAAGACCAGCCTGGACAACAGAGTGAGACTCTATCTCTACAAAAATTAAAAAATTAGCGGATGTGGTCACACGCACCTGTGATCCGAACTACTCAGGAAGCTGAGGCGAGAGGATCGCTTGAGCCCAGGAGGTCAAGGCTGCAGTGAGCTGTGACTGTGCCACTGCACTCCAGCCTGGGTGACAGAGCAAGACTCTCTTCGCCATCCCCCCAAAAAAAATCATAATAAAAATCACAACACAACAAAAAATCATACAAATAAAAATACAGTAGAACAATATTTACATAGCTTTCACACTGTATCAGGTATTATAAGTAATCTAGAGACTTAAAGTATGAGGGAGGATGTACTTAGGTTAAATGCAAGTACACGCCATTTGACTTTATTTTTGTAGAGACGGTCTCACTCTGTCACCCAGGCTGGAGTGCAGTGGCACAATCACAGCTCACTGCAGCTTTGACCTCCCAGGCCCAAATGACCCTCCTACCTCAGCCTCCAGAGTAGCTGGGACTACAGGCATGAGCCACTACATCCGGCTAATTTTTTTTTTTTTTTTTTTTTTTGGTATTTTTTGTGAAGATGGGGTTTTGCCATGTTGCCCAGGCTGGTCTTGAACTCCTGGGCTCAAGCAAACCACCCACTTCAGCCTCCCTGAGTGCTGGGATTATACTATGCCATTTTATATGAGGGATTTGAGCATCTCTGGATTTGGGTACCTATGAGGGATCCTGGAACCAATGCCCTGAAGATACCAAGGGACGACTGACTATACTGTTTCTACTCTTCCAACATTCACCTATGATCAGCCTTACCCTAGCGAAACCCCTGCACTCCCAAAACCTCACTGAGTGGGCCTCTCATGAACGCTGACACTGTCATCCAGCACCCCTATGGGGTTTTATTTATGGTTGCTTTAAAAAGAAGCACTTTGAAAGCTTCGAAAGAAAGATGCTGAACAACCAGACCAGATTATGAATTTTGTGTTCAAATGAGTTAATTTCCCTTAATAGGGGTCAAATCATTTTTATTTCCCTGCAACCTAAAGAAACTGTGCTGAGCTTTAATGTAGACACACTTTACCCACCTCACCCCCGGCCACAGGAAAGCTGACGTCATCAAGAGAACTGAGGGTGTTCGCAGCAAGGAACACGGAGTTACTCTGAAACATTCTCCAGAGCAAGAGTTCTTAACCTGGGCTACAGGAAATCTTCACAACCCTTAAATTACACGTGTGACTTCCCATCAATGCGCAGCTCTGTCCAAGTCCTTGGCTTTCATCAGACTCTCAAAGGAGCCTCAGAAAGCCAGAATTTTGTCTCAGTTTCTCTCATCATTGATTTTAAGGGTTATCCCGCCTAGTTCTTCTTTCCTTGTTTTCAGTGAAACTGTGACCTGCTCCAAAAACACGCAGTCAGTGAAATTTAGTTCCCAAATATTTTATGATAATATAGCAGTGGGCTACATATAAAATAAATGGTAAAAGGTCCTATTCCTTGGTCTTACTCATAACTAAATAATTAACTTACTGGATTTCATTTTTGAGGTTTTTATTGAAAATATTTCTTCCTAAAACACAGTATCTTCTCTCTCCTTGTGAGATGTCAAAAAAAAAAATTTGTATTGAAACAAATCAGTGAATTTGTCGTATTTCTTTCTTAACCTTTCTAACTGTAGAGGAACATGGCATACAGAGGACTTATCTTTGAACACGTTTTTACTAAATAAATATTCATCGATTCACTCAGTACATTTTTATTGAGTCCTTTTTTCCAGGCACCAGTTTAGGTACAGGGGATTCCAAAGCAAACAAAAGAAAATCAATTGCTCCCAAGAAGCTTGCATTCCAGCAGGGAACACAGATTATAAACCATAAACTAGACAGAACAGGAGGCGGGGAGCGGATAGTAATAAGCACTGTATTAGTTTTCTGGCTTAAAGCGACAGAAATTTACTGTCTCATTGTTCTGGAGGACAGAAGTCCAAAATCAAAGTGTGGGCAGGGCCCCACTCCCTCTGAAGGCTTAGGGGAGAGTCCCTCCTTGCCCCTCCTACATTCCTGTGGCTGCCAGCAATCCCTGCCATTCCTTGGCTTTGTAGATCCATCACTGCAATTTCTGCCTTCACAGTCACATGGCAGCATTCTTCCTGTGTATCTGTCTCTGCGTCTAAATTTCCCTTGTGTTAAATGGACAGCAATCATTGGATTAGGGCCCACCCTAATCCAGTACAACCTCATCTTACCTTGATTACCTCTGCAAAGACATTCTTTCCAAATAAGGTCATATTCACATGCAATGGAGGTTAGGACTTTAACATATCTTTTGGGATATGTTAAATTTAACACATAACATGTGTTTTGAAAACAAAATTAAGTGGCCATATGGGAGACAGAGAGTGATGGGTGCTGGCATGTCCAGGAGGGCCTCTTGGAAAAGATGCCATTGAAGCAGAAACCAAAATGAAGTGAAGGAATGAGCCATGGGGACATTTGGTGAAGGGGGTACAGGCAGAGACCCCGAGGCAGAGGTGCTGAGCCCCTGTGCCTATACTCCTGACTCTCAGAAACTACAAGATAATAAATGCTTGCTTTGTAAGCCATTATGTTTTACAGTAATTTGTTTGCGGCAATATAAAATGTATGCGATTACCCAATAGTGGCCTTGCCTGTTGTGTTAGTTTTCGGTTGCTGCATAACAAATTGCCATAAACTCAGCAGCTTAAAGCTTAACTCACAGTTTCTATAGGTCACAAGTCTATGCTCAGGGTCACACGAGGCTGAGATCTTGGTGCTGGCAGGGCTGTGCTCCTTGTTGGAGCTCAGAGGCCTCTTTCAAGCTTTTGTGGCTGTTGGTAGAATTCAGTTCCTTGCAGTTGTTGGACATATGCCCCCTTTTCTTGCTTGTTGGCTGGGGGCCACTCATACCTCCTGGAGGCTGCCCACAGCTCCTGGCTGGGAGGACCCCTGCGAAGGCCTCTAATTCTTCGAATTCCTTGGACATCGTCTATCTCTGATCTTTAGACCCAGAATCAAAGGACTCATGTGATTAGGTCAGGCCCACTCAGAATAATCCCCCTTTCGGCAAACTTGAAGTCAACTGATTAGTAAACTTAATTACAATTGGTGTGGACACAACAGTGACTCCATCTTGGACGCTAATCTGCCATGTTGAATTCTGATTAGCCCTAGTCCTGTGAATGTCCCCTGATTTCTACTTTGTTTACTGTCCCTAGTGTAAGAACATGTCAACCTTGATGCTACTCCACAAATAATAGGCGTCATAATAGGAAATGGCGCATACAGCATGCCTGCCGTTCTGTAGGGCTGCCTCCCACTGTCTCCCTGGAGCACATACCCCTTTCCCAGCGGTATAAGAGCCCTTGGTCTGTTGAGTAACAGAGTGGAGATCTACCTGTCCTGCAGCCACCCAAGACCACGCTTCTGTCTGTAAGTTCCCCAATAAATCAACCTTTACTGACAATCTGGATTTGTGTGCCTCTTCTTTGGTTTTTTGGCTCCTTTGGTATTTGGGGGCCGCTTTGCCCTTTCACTGAACAAATGGCAAATTCCCTTATCTATATAATGTAACATAATCATGAGAGTAATACCGCATCATATCCACGGACCTGCCTACACTTAAGGGAAGAGAATACAAAGCGTGTGCGCTGGGGGCAGGAATCTCGGGGCTGTCTTAGATTCTGCCTGCCGTGCTCCTCTTCCACTGTGGCGCTGTAACCAGCAGCATTCTGTGAACTCCACAAGGGCCCTGGATGTGCGTGGTGTGTGCCTGTCAACAACATGGGCGGGGCCACTTTGGCCAGATCAGAGACAGTGCCAGGGCCCACTGGCTCTGTGCCAGCCACCATGCTAGGGACCTCCTAGGTGCAATGTCATCTCATCCTCCCTTTGGTGCAGACACTGTTAACTTCTCTGTTATGCAGGTGAGAACACTAAGACTCACATGACTTAAACTACTTCTCTGAGATTCCAAATATAAAGTGGTAGAGCCAGGGTTTGAACCCAAAGTGTCAGAAAGTCAGGTTTCCAATCCTAGCTTTGTTATTTTCTACCTGTGTTACCCAACTCCTCTGGCCTCACTTTGCCCATCCCTATAGTAGGGTTAACAGAATATGTGGCTTCGGATATTCTCAGGGGCTGTGGAAGGGGCTCTGTAAGCAATGACGGCTGGATCTGCCTCATGGAAACAGTAAAGCGCCATAAGAGGCTGAGAGATAGCGGCTGTTGACATGACTTTGAAGCACTTTTATTTCTATTTACTGGAAGAGGTTGTTTTCAGGGCAACCCAAGGATTCAGAAAACAACGAAACCATGAAGTCATCTTGGGGCTCACAGAGCTCTGAGCAGGAGAAACAGGGACTGGGGTTTGGGGAAGGCATCAACTCATGCTATGGCAGAGGCAGAGAGGCTTGTCAGGCATGGATCTTCCCTGCCCCACTGGAGTCACAGAATCTTCTAGTTTTACCCATATTTATGCAGGGTGCTGAGTCACCAATGTAACCCAGCAATCCATCTTGACTGAAAACAAATGGCTTGTTTAAATGAAAAGCAGACAGCAGAAGCAGAACGTCCTCAAAAGAGTGTCTTTCATGTCTCCTTATTAGGCGCCAGTGGGTCTTTTAGACAGTTTGTACCCAAAGGGAGAAGTGGTTAATCACTGTGCATGTTGCCTAATCAGGAAGCAAAAACCTTGAAGGACACCCGAAGTTCGTGTTAGAAATGCAAAACAGCCTGAACCCTCTGCGAGTGAAAACATGTATGTGTGCAACTGTCAACGTACCCCTCCTTCCTTCCCGCTCTTCCCTGGAGAAGGTAGAATAGGGAGAGGAAAGCCTTGTTGAAATACAGCCCGAGTCATTTGCTTCACAGGCTGGGATTCTTTCGGATGCTGGTGCTAATGGGTGAAGTCTGCCACTCTGATGCTTGCGAGAGCCGTAGGAGGTAGGAGTGATTGACCCCATTTCACAGATGAGAAAATTGAGACTTAGACAAAACTAGACATGAGAAGGCAGGTGCCAGTTATCAGAGAGGCAGCCTCCTCCTAGGCCCTTCATGCCACCTGAGGGAGGTCCCAGGGTGTGGGAGGAGGGAGCATGGGATTCTAGCCTCGGAGAGAACAGGCAGGGAAGAGGCTGGGCCTGGGTGGGGCGGTCCTGCAGGGCCTCAATCAGTTGAGCCAGACAGTGCCTGCGGGCCCCCGACAGGCCTCCCTGAACCTCACTGGAGCATTAAAGATGAAAGCCCCTTCCGAGCTCTGTACAGGAGATTGATGTGTGAGATGGGAAGATGCCATCTTCACCAGGGCTTGGCCAGGAGAATCAGTGGGTTGCCAAGATGCCTGGAGGGTCAGGAGAATGCAGTGAGGGGTTGAGACACCTGGGAAGCAACCTAGGGTTATCCGGGACTAACTGGAACAACTGTTCCCCTGGGCTATGAGGAGTCCACTGCAGAGGAACTGGCCTCCAGACTCAAAACGATAGTGCCATTTCTTATACAACCTACATGTCACTTCTTCATTGCCCAGATTCTGCATATTTTCCTAGCTCTGTTCCCTTTTACTTGGAAGTTGTGCTTTCCATCCAGTATCCCCCACACCAGCACTGAGGCCCACAGTCCGGGAAACATCTGGGTGGGCTCCCCTGAAATGGGTCCCAGCTGGGCGGCAAACGTTTCCTGTGCCTGCCAACCCCTCC
Source organism: Homo sapiens (assembly GCF_000001405.40). Classification (NCBI taxonomy): domain Eukaryota; kingdom Metazoa; phylum Chordata; class Mammalia; order Primates; family Hominidae; genus Homo; species Homo sapiens. The sequence goes on from NC_000005.10 coordinate 178,478,631, forward strand.
CTTCCTGTGTCCACAGAGAGAGTGTCTGGAGAAATCAAGTTAATGTTTTCAATTAATATTTGGGAAAAATACCCGAGGCCAGTTGTTTTATCTTTGATGCCAGATATTCTTGGGTTTAAAGCAAAGTAGCCAGGAAAGACACTGATGGGCCTTTTGAGGGTACCAGAGCCTTCTGGGTGCCCTCTTGCTTCAGAGAAGACTCTATGAGAAGACTTACCCCAGAGGATAAAGGCACAGAGATCCTGGCTCCAGAAAGGCATGCGGCACAGACTCTGCCAGAATTTCTGGATTCGGGTGCCATACTGGGCTCCAAAATGCTGTCAGTGTGAGAAGAGGAGCTACTCCTAAAAACATTGAGTTTTCTTGTCACCCTGGCTTCCTGGGCCATGTGAGGCCCAGGGAGACAGCCATGTGCCAGGGCAGCCATCTCAGTGGCCCAGGACCTTCATCAGGACACAAGGATCACCCTCATGATGATGATGATGATGATGATGACCGTGGTAATGACAACAGCCAACACTCACAGATACTTAACACCATCAGGCGCTTTATGTGCAGGATTTCCTAGAAAGCAAGTACCCTTATTCATACCCATTTTACAGCTGAAGAAATGGAGGTTCATAGGGGTAAAGCCCCCTGCCCCAAATCACACAGCTATGGAGGTCGGGAGCCAGGACCTGAACAGAGGCTCTCACTCCCACGCCTGTGCTCCTAACCACAGCAACGAAAAAAACCCCGAGCTGCTGCCCTGATGTCCCTCCTGCCTCCTCTACTGGGCAGCTTCTCTTATCACCTGCCATGGAGATGCCGGCTCACCCATGCGCCACAGCGGCCGGTGAGGCTGCTCTCCCCTCCAGGTGTCCACAGCTCTTTAATACACCCCAGGAAGACACATGGCTCCTTCAGACCAGAGTACATGGGACCCGTTCCCAGGAAGTGGCCAGAGGGAGTCTGGGAAATGCCAGGATGAGATGATACATGTTAGGGACAAGTGGAGAAATGTGAATTGGGGTTGAAATTCTGTAATATTAAGGATTCATGTTAATCTTAGGTGTGATAATGACGTTGTGGTTATGCAGGAAGGAAAAAAAAGCCCTAATCCTTGAGAGATGAACAACAAAATACTTGTAAGTGAAATATAAGGCGTCCGAATTTGCTTTAAAATATAGTCATGCCTCTCTTAATGACAGGATGCATTCTGAGAAACATGTCCTTAGGCGATTGTGTCATTGTGTGAACATCATAGAGTGAATGAACTTACACAAACCTAGATGGGGCGGCCTACTGCACACCCAGGCTGTGTGGCACAGCCCACTGCTCCTGGCTACAAACCTGTACAGCCTGTTACTGTGCTGAGTACCATAGGCAACTGAGATAAAACGGTAGGTATGTGTGTATCGAAACACAGAAAAGATACAGTAAAACGATGGTATTATAATTGTAGAGGTCCACAGGTCATATATGTGGCCCACTGTTGACCAACATGTTACTCTGTGGTGCATGATTGTACTCCAGAAAAAAAAAAAAAAGAAAATTTTTTAAATAGGTGGAGGAGATAGATGAAGCCTGATCAGGAAGTTGATGATAATTGTTGAAGCTGGGGGAGGAATCCAAAGATTATTCTCCAAACCAAACCAAACTAAAACTCTGCCTCCCTCAGACAGGTCAGGTTCCAGACCCGGACTCTGGAGGTCCTAATCCTGCTGCCCTGGATCCACCGGTCACCTCGGAGTCTTCACAGTTTCCCTCCGCAGGAGCCAGAAGGAGTTCTCAAATAGTGAAATGCTGGTGCAGGGCCCAGTCTCCCAGAGCTCCTGAACCTGGTGCACCTCCCACCCGCAAGCCCATCCCAAGATCCCACTAACACCATTGCAACCCAGTTTGAAAGCACCAGGCCTGTGAGCATTCTTTCATTATTAACAATTGAAAATGACCCCAGATATTTTTCAGCCTCCTGCTTTGCATGGCACGTCTCTGTGTTGTCTCATATGCAGTCAGCAGTGGTGTCTCCCTTATGCTGTGTTCAACAGCTCAAACCCAAAAGGAAACTTCACAGGGAAAATGAACAAGGTAAGTCAAAATGTAATGGTCACGGATAATACCTACTCTAGGTATCTAGTCAACAAGGATGCAAAAAGCCTGCTTTTCACAGGTTGGACTGTGTGAATCCATCTTTGTATAATATGTCAGGGATATCCACAGACATTCTTAACATCAACATTAAATGTGGGCTGGGCTGGCACGGTGGCTCACGGCTGTAATCCCAGCACTTTAGGAGGCTGAGGTGGGAGGATCACTTGAGGCCAGGAGTTCGAGACCAGCCTGGCCAATGTGGTGAAACCTTGTCTCTATTAAAAATACAAAAAAATTAGCTGGGCATGGTAGCACACACCTGTAATCCCAGCTACTCAGGAGGCTAAGGCATGAACATTGCTTGAACCCGGGAGGCGGAGGCTGCAGCGAGCCGAGATCGCACCACTGCACTCCAGAGACTGTCTCTCAAAAAAAAAAAAAAAAAAAGAAAGAAAGAAAATGTGACTTACAAGCTTTCCCTCAGAGTTGTGAAGGAAAGAAAAAACAATGTGACCATAATAAAAATTACTTAATATAGATCAATGACCTAAACTTAAGAGTAAAAACTATAAAACTCTTAGAAGAAAACATAGGGGAAAATTTTCATGACACTGGATTTGGCAAATAATTTCTTGGATATGACACACAGCAGAAGAAAAAACAGATAAGCTGAACATCATCAAAATTAAAAACTTTTGTGTATCAAAGGACACTACTGAGAGAGTATAAAGACAACCCAGAGAATTTGCAAGTCATATATCTGATAAGTGATTAATAACCAGAACATATAAAGAACTCTGACAACTCAATAACAAAAACAAAACAAAACAAAACAACCCAATTAAAAAATGGGCAAAGAGCTTAAATAGACATTTATACCTGGTCAAGGTATACAAATGCCCAGTAAACACGTGAAAAGATGCTCAATATTATTAGCCATTAGGGAAACGTAAATCAAAACCACAAGATACCACTTCATACCCATTAGTATAGCTATGATTAAAAAGAGGGAAAATGACAGCATGGATGAGAATTCGGGGAAGTTGGTGCATGACTGCTGGGCATTAAAAATGGTGCAGCTGCCACCTATGTTCTCAGTCATAGGTGGGAATTGAACAGTGAGAACACTTGGACACAGGATGGGGAACATCACACACCAGGCCTGTCATGGGGTCGGGGGAGGGGGGAGGGATAGCATTAGAAGATATACCTAATGTAAATGACGAGTTGATGGGTGCAGCACACCAACATGGCACATGTATACATATGTAACAAACCTGCGTGTTGTGTACATGTACCCTAAAACTTAAAGTATAATTAAAAAAAAAAAAAGGCGCAGCTGCTGTGGAAAACAATTTGGTAGTTTCTCAAAAAGTCAGACACAGAATTACTATATGATCCAGAAATTCCACTCCTAGGTATATTCCCAAAAGACACAGATAGTTTTATACCAACGTTCACAGCAGCACTATTTACAACAGCCAAAAGGTTAACAACCCAAATATCCATCAACAGATGAATAACCAATTGTGGTGTATACATACAGTGGAATATTATTCAGCCTTAAATGGGAATGAAGTTCTGATACATGCTACTAGATAGACAGATGAACCTTGAAGGTATTTTGCTAATGAGCTTTTGAAAGAAGCCAGACACAAAAGGACAGATATTTTATGATTCCTTTTATATGCAGTATCTAGAGTAGGCAAACTCATATAGACAGAAAGTAGAACGGGGGCGGGGCAAAGAGGGGATTGGGGAATTATCGTTTAATGGGTATGGAGTTTCAGTTGGGGAAGATGAAGAAAAAGGTTCTGAGATGGATGGTGGTGATGGCTGAACAACAATGTGAATGCAGTTAATGCCACTGACCTGTACTTTTAAAAATGGTTACAATAGACTTAGGCTGGCCGGGCGTGGTGGCCCACACCTGTAATCCCAGCACTCTAAGAGGCCGAGGAGGGCAGATCACGAGGTCAGGAGATCGAGACCATCCTGGCTAACATGGTGAAACCCCGTTGCTACCGTCGCTACTAAAACTACAAAAAATCGGCCGGGCGTGGTGGCGGGTGCCTGTAGTCCCAGCTATTCAGGAGGCTGAGGCAGGAGAATGGTGTGAGCCTGGGAGGCAGAGCTTGCAGTGAGCAGAGATCGCGCCACTGCACTCCTGCCTGGGCAACAGAGAGAGACTCCATCTCAAAAAAAAAAGAAAAAAGAAAAGACTTAGGCTTAGTGGTGCCTGCCTGTAGTCCCAGCTACTTGGGAGGCTAAGGCAGGAGGATTGCTTGAGCCCAAGAGGCTGAGGCTGCAGTGAGTTATGATCACACCACTGCACACCAGCCTGGGAAACAGAGTAAGACTCTGTCTCGAAAAGAAAAAGAAAAAAAAAACTAAAATGTCATATTTTATGTTATGTACATTGTGCCAAAATTTTAAAATGTGAATAGGATAAATAAGCAGGTCACTGATGACCATCTTAAGGCAATGTTATGCAGATATCTAGAGTTAAATATTTGCATGTAATTTCACACAGTTCTTCAAATGAGTCCCTTTTGAATTACTGGGGAGATAAGTATATGGAGAAGGCATTAGATGCCACATAAAACTGAGGAATTAAAAAAAAAAATCTTGAATGGTAGGAATCTTGGTGCTAGAGGCATCCCTAGAAAGACACTGTCAGAATTCCGCTCCAAGAAACAAAAGACCTCCGGGAATCCACTCGCCCTCAAGACACAGCATTTCTAGATTCTCTCTGCTCACATCTTCCCCTTCTCCTGGCTTTCCAGCACCCCAGCTGACTACAACTCAGAAGTGGGAAGGCACATGTGAAAAAATTATGAGTTCCAGTCTTTAAAAATTATTACAGTTTTAAATAATTACATAAAAATATTTACGTTTCCCGAGTCAAACCTAAAAACCACAAGGCATGTTCAGAAAAGCTTCACTTCTATTCCTAGGCATGAAGCCCTCTCCCATACTTGTTTTCTTTCCTTTTCTTTGGATTTTATTTGGGTTTCTCCCTCCAGTATTAGGTTACGGGGCCCATCTCCAATGCGGCCATCTTTACCCACAAAGCACGTGGAGCCCGTGCAGCGGGGTTCCTCTTCAAAGAAAACTGTGATGCTGTCAGCAGGAAGTGCACAAAGAAAAGGGATGTACACACTCAGCAACGCGCACTTGCTTCCTTTCACTACAGAGCACATTTTACTGGGTACCGGCTCTGTGCTAGGCAAGATTTTTTTTTTTTCTTTGAGGCAGAGTTTCACTCTCATTGCCCAGGCTGGAGTGCAATGGCATGATCTCGGCTCTCTGCAACCTCCCAGGTTCAAGCGATTCTCCTGCCTCAGTCTTCTGAGTAGCTGGGATTATATGCCACCACATCTGCCTAATTTTTGTATTTTTAGTAGAGATGGGGTTTCACCGTGTTGGCCAGGCTGGTCTTGAACTCGACCTCAGGTGATCCGCCTACCTCAGCCTCCCAAAGTGCTGGGATTACAGGTGTGAGCCACCACGCCCAACCAAGATTTTCAAAAGAAGTTTGTTTTCATTTTTTCTGTTTTGGGGATTATTCTAATGTTAAATCTATTAAAAATTAAGCAAGGCACAATGCACCAAAGAAAATTAACAGCATTTTGTTGAAAGAACGAAGATTGGGTGTCCCTCAAGGATGGCTCCGAGGTCCCCTCTCAGAAGCCCTTCTTGATTTACCCCACAGAGTTAGCTGTCCCCTCATCCTAGGATCCTCATGCAAGAGACCACTAGCAGTGACCATGGGACATTATGACTGTTTATGTGACTAGTGTGTCTGGCTCCCGAAACTGTAAGAACAGTGAGGCCGGGCCGGGCGTGGTGGCTCACGCCTGTAATCCCAGCACTTTAGGAGGCCGAGGTGGGCGGATCACGAGGTCGGGAGATTGAGACCATCCTGGCTAACACGGTGAAACCCCGTCTCTAGTAAAAATACAAAAATCAGCCAGGCGTGGTGGTGGGTGCCTGTAGTCCCAGCTGCTCAGGAGGCTGAGGCAGGAGAATGGTGTGAACCTGGGAGGTGGAGGTTGCAGTGAGCTGAGATCGCGCCACTGTACTCCAGCCTGGGTGAAAGAGCAAGACTCTGTCTCAAAAAAAAAAAAAAAAAAAAAAGAGCAGTGAGGCCAGACACAATGGTTTCTTTCTTTCTGATAAATAAAAGCCCATATTTGTAAAGAGTCCAGCATATCGGAAGTGTCCCTTAGATGTTAGGTTCTGGCCAAGGACCCCCAGTGCCTAGCAAAGTGGGCATCCAATAAATGTGGGTTGAACAGACAAATAAATTTAGAGGACTTCGCTTACGGCTCTGGCAATCTTGACCTAAAAAATTAATGAAATGTGTAAAAATGTACTCCAAAAATTCCAGCAATATGCTATTGGTTAGCTTATGCCTTTATTCCCCACCTCATTCCAACAATATGAAATTGGTGTAGTTTTGTTTGTAAAGAAATGTCAGGATAGGCAGGATGTGGTGGCTCACGCCTGTAATCCCAGCACTTTGGGAGGCCAGGAGGGCGGATCATTTGAGCTCAGGAGTTCGAGACCAGCCTGGCCAACATAGCAAAACCCTATCTCTACAAAAAATACCAGAAAAATTAGCTGGGCGTGGTGGTGTGTGCCTGTAGTCCCAGCTACTTGGCAGGCTGAGGTGGGAGGATTGTTTGAGCCCAGGAGGTTGAGGCTACCGTGACCTAGGATTGCACCACTGCACTCCAGCCTGGGTGACAAAAGTGAGACCCTGTCTCAAAAAAAAGAAAAAAGTCCGGGTGTGGTGGCTCATGCCTGTAATCCCAGCACTTTGGGAGGCCAAGGTGGGCAGACCACCTGACGTCAGGAGTTCGAGACCAGCCTGGCCAACATGGTGAAACCCTGTCTCTACTAAAAATACAAAAAAATAAAGTTAGCCAGGTGTGTTGGCATGTGCCTGTAATCCCAGCTACTCGGGAGGCTGAGAGGCAGGAGAATCACCTGAATCTGGGAGGTGGAGGTTGCAGTGAGCCGAGATCACACCATTGCACTCCAGCCTGGGTGACAGAGTGACTCCATCTCAAAAAAAAAAAAAAAAAAACACAGAAATGTCAGGATGAGTAAGCTGAGTACAGAGTAAAACTTGACATTAAGAAGAAAATCTGCCCCAGCTGAGTGGCCAGGGGAACCTCAGCTCCAGCTGTTCATTGTGTTGGGCAGCAGTGGTGGGAGGGGTGCCGGGGTGCTTTGCAGAAAAAAGAATCGCAGCTGCAAATACAAATTGCATATTCCTAGACCTTTGAAAGATAACAAAGACTTCTGCCCTCAACTGATGATGTCCTGTGTTAAAATCACTTGGCTAGGTAGTTAAAACTGTTTGAAATGACCTGGTCACTTTCTGATGTGGACGTGCAATACACATGTAAAGCTGGGTACCAGATTTGACTCTTGTAAACTTCAACCAGGTAGTTTTGAAAACACCCTAGAAGTGAACAACCTTGAATGTCCTGAAGATGTGGGAGTGTTCGACAAGATTCAGGCAGCTGCAGAATGAGGACGGTTGTCAGTGGGTGACGTGTTCAAGCTGCTCAGGCCCCTCACCGGGATGAGCAGAAAGGTCAGCATTTTCTTAGCCCAGGGAGGCTTAGTACTCTTGAGGCAAAGAAATCCTGCAGCATAAGTAAGATCCAGCGCAGAGAATACCCGAGGGTGAACCGTGATGAGAAGTCTCAGAGCGCACTGCGTAATTACCACGTGTAGAAAGCAAAACGTTGACAAGACACGGCCGTTAGCAAAAAGCCGAACGGTTACTACGCTCAACGAGAAAAGGAAACTGGGAGGGTTGAAAAAAAGAAACGAATAATTGGCAAATTCCAAGAGGCTCTTTCAGGAAGAGACAGTTGGGTGGTTTTGTGAAAGCAGAGGTGACTCTTGGACCACAAACATGAAGCCCACAGGGAGAGCCGGGTGAAAAAGGAAGGACAGAAGCTAAACAGCCAAAGAAAACCCAAAGCGTACTTCAGACATGCCAAGGCCAAGAGGCTCTGTATCTAAAAAGGAGCCCAAGTGAGTAGGACCAGTTGGAAGGCACACTTAAGAGTGTAAGCAAGACTCACAGGAACCTACTGTGTCTCGCCTTGGACTTCAAGCTGATGCTAAGATGGCGTTTCACACCCTGAGTGGGGAAACGAAGGAAACTGACGGGGGTGCTGAAATTAAACATCCCTCCTCTGGACCTCCAGGCTGCACCCCACCCTCGGCCACATCAATGGCACAGGACTTAAAACTGGACGCTCTCTATCCACTGGTAGCTCATGCATTCCAGAATCAACCTACACAGATCATGCTCCTCCCTCAGTGCCTGAGAGTTCTGCACAGGACGCTCTCAGAATCTAGAGGCTCCAGGCTGGGGCCAGGTCCAAGTCCCAGTTGACACCTCAGTGCCTGAGTGTTCTGCACAGGACGCTCTCAGAATCTAGAGGCTCCAGGCTGGGGCCAGGTCCAAGTCCCAGTTGACACACTATCTCCAGCCCAGGCCAGGGCTTCCCTGGTAAATCAATCTCTGAAGGCAGTCATGGTACCAGCCTCAGTTTTATTTATTTATTTATTTATTTATTTATTTATTTATTTATTTATTTAGAGAAGGAGTTTCGCTCTTGTTGCCCAGGCTGGAGTACAGTGGTGTGATCGCAGCTCACTGCAACCTCTGCCTCTTGGGTTCAAGCGATTCTCCTGCCTCAGCCTCCTGAGTAGCTGAGATTACAGGCGTGCAACCACCATGCTCAGCTAATTTTTGTATCAGCCTCAGTATTATTTTAAAGGAACTTAAAATGGTTAAACTTTAAAATGGGGTGAAATGAGGCAGTCCCCAGGATGGCCAGACATTTATGGGGCTGTAAGGTTCCCAATGTGATGCCTGTCCGGGGAATGACTCCGGAGAGTCCTGGGACCCAACTGCCACAGCGTCTCCTATCTCTCCTGGGAAAACTGGGAGGATGGATAAGTGACAGTGGAGGCAGAGAAACTTCAGTTTAGCTGCTCAGCATTTTCCCTAACTCACTCATGATAACTACATACCCAGTTCCATCCTAACTCGGAACAGCCAGATCCCACTGAAAACCCTGGGTCACTGGAACAGGAAGACAAGAGCCACATTTGAAACTGCCTCTGCTCTAGGTCATCAGCTTTCTCTAATTTGGTGTCCCTGCCCCATCAGCTCTGTGCAGAAGAGCACATTGTGGCTGGGGGTTAAGAACAAATAAGACAGTGCTGGCTGTGAGACCCTGGCTGGGTTACTTAACCTCCTTGAAACTGCAGAACAAGGATATGAAGGCATGACTTCACTGGGCTACTGTGAGAATGATGAGAATAATGCATTAAGCCCACGGCAGGGTGCCTGGCACACACGGAGCACTCCGGGGAGCTATTGTTCTCACTCCTCATTAGAAGGGACAAACCTGAGATGAAGCTCTTATTTGGCAAGGTCTGGGTGATCTGGTGCACTCAGGCCTCTCAATTTATATGAAAAGTCAGAATTCAATTAAGGGAAGATGACATAAACCCAAGAAAAGCCTGCTAGAGATTTGCCCAGGAATAGCCCTCTCCCCTGTCACCTGCCTGATGGGGAGCTGCTGAATTTTCACAGCATCATCCTCAAGGCTCTCACAGATCAGAGCAGAATCCCTGACCCCAGACCCGGAATCTCTAAATTTGCGTGTGACCTCCTCTCCCTTTGTGGCACATGAAGATTTCTAGTGATCTCTCCAGGCAGAATACAGTATTCCTTCCTTTCCCTCACCGCCACCGCCATCAGACGCCAATTATATTCAATGTTTTCCTTAAAATGCAACATGAGACCTATCGTTGAAGTCTTGCACCAATTTTCTCTTCTTATCCCCAAACTCAGATTTGCACAGCAGGCCGCCACTTTATAGACAAAACGGTGCGTGGAGTTTGAAGCACACATATATGCCTATGACTCTTTAAAAAAAAAAAAAACGCTTTGAGGTATGATTGACATGAACAACTGTACATATTTAATGTATACATTCAATGAATGTAAATTCAAGGAGGCACCAGACGAGAGTTCTGGAGCTCCGTGAGGGTAGCTAAGGAAGCAAATGGGATGGGCTCTGCCAGGCTTAGGAAGGAAGAGGTGGTGTCTGAGCACTCACCTGGACTTCTGCAAGGTCAGCAAACACAGGAGCAGTCGCTGAGCAGCGGTGCAAACACACCAGCTCTCCAACGGGTGCTTCACTGCACTTCCCTGCAGAGACCATTCTAAACCAAACTCAGCGCCTGGGAAGGCTCTGCCCCTCAGGATCTGCCCCTCATCCTTGTGGCCTATTGCTGTCGACCTGACTGGATGGAGGGGTCCCTAGATGGCTGGTGTGTCTGTGAGGGTGTTTCCAGGGGAGATGGCATGGAGGTCAGTGGGCTGAGAGGGGAAGATCTGCCCTCAATGTGGGTGGGCACCACCCAACGGCTGGGGGCCCAGTAGGGACAAAGCAGACAGAAGGGGAACATTCAGCTCCCTCTTGCTTCCCCTCCCTTCTGGAGGGAGACACTTTTTCTCCTCCTGCCCTTGGACATCAGGCTTCAGGTCCTTCTGCCTTTGGACTCTGCAACCCCCTGGGGGCTCTCAGACCTTCAGCCTCAGACTAGGGGCTGCACTGTCGGCTCCCCTGGTTCTGAGGCGTTCAGACTTGGACTGAGCCACGTTACCGGCTCCTCTGGTTCTGCGGCTTGTAAACAGCCTGTCATGGGACTTTGCCTTCGCAACCATGTGAGTCAATTCTTCCCAATAAATTCTCTTTCACATGTATCCTGTTGGCTCAGTCCCTCTGGAGCACCCAGACAACTACAGCACAGGAAGCAGTTCATCACAGACTGGGGCTGGGGGAGAGGCAGGAATAAAGGCTGCGGACTGTCAAAGATACCCAGAGAGGGGCTAGGAAGTCGGGAGGGTGGGAGGTGCAGCAGATGCAGCCACCGGGCACCAAACTGCAGCAAGGTCTCTGACCCCAGCTTCTTGCACCTCACCACGGGATGCAGCAATTCCGCTCCTCGATACAGACCCAGAGGCCATGAAAGCTGGGACTTGAACAGGTATTTGCATACTCATGTTCCTAACAGCACTATTTACAATACCCAAGAGGTAGAAAGGACCAAAATATCCATCAACAGATGAATGGATAAGCAGTTTGTGACTATCCAGACAAGAGAAGATCACTTAGCCTTAAAAAAGGTAGGGTGGCTGGGTGTGGTGGTTCACTCCTGTAATCCCAGCACTTTGGGAGGCCGAGGCGGGCGGATCACCTGAGGTCAGGAGTTTGAGACCAGCCTGGCCAAAATGGTGAAACCCTGTCTCTACTAAAAATACAAAAAAGTTAGCTGGGTGTGGTGGTGGGCGCCTGTACTCAGGAGGCTGAGGCAGAAGAATCGCTTGAACCTGGGAGGCAGAGGTTGCAGTAAGCCGAGATCACACAACTGCACTCTAGCCTGGGCAACAAGAGTGAAATTCCATCTCAAAAAAAACAAAAAACAAAAAACAAAAAATGAGAGAGAGAGAAAAGGAAGGGGATTCTCACACATGCTACTCCATGGAGAAACTTTGAGGATATTAAGCTAAGTGAAATAAGCCACACAAAAAGGATAAATACCGTAGAATTCCACTGAGAAGAGGTATCTAGAATGGACAGATTTACAGAGGCAGAAGTAGAATAGAGGTTACCGGTGCTGAAGGGAGGACGCGTGGGAAGTTGCGTTTAATGGGTACAGAGTTTCAGTTGCGGAAGATGAAAATGTTCTGGAGAAGGATGGTGGTGATGGCTGCACAATACTGTGACTGTACTTAATGCCACTGAGCTGTACACATAAAAGTGGTTTAAACTTGGGCAACATAGTGAAAAAAAAAAATCTTTAAAAAAATTAGCCAGATGTGGTGGTGTGCACCTGAAGTCCCAGCTACTAGGGAGGCTGAGGCCGGAGAACTGCTTCGGCCTGGGAGTTTGAGACTGCAGTGAGCTATCACTGTGCCACCGTACTCCAGCCTGGGTGACACAGCGAGACCCTGTCTCAAAAGAAAAAAAGATTTAAATGGTAAATTTTATGTTATGTATGTTTTACCACAGTAAAAAATGCATATAAAAAACTGATAGAACTGGATACCTAAAAAGAGTGAATTTTACTGCATGTAAATTATACCTCGAGGAGCTTGACTTTAAAACAACCTCTATCTTCAGGGAAAAGTTATAATTCATTCTTTCTTTATTCTATTCCACTAGGCTTGTCTGCTTGAGGGGAGTGGGGAGAGACAGCGAGAGACAAAGAAAGCTAAGAGAGAAGAGAGAGGAGAGAGAGAGAAAAAGAGGAAAGAAGGAGAAGAGAGAAGAGAGAGGAGGGGGGAAAGAGAGAGGAGACACGGAGGAGAGGAGACAAAGAGATAGGAGGAGAAGAGAGAGAAAGGGAAAGAGAGAGAAGAGAACGAGGAGGGGGGAGATTACTAAAGGACAGTGTGTTGTTCCCAGAACTCAAGACCTGCCCCTCATCCTCGTGGCCATCTCCTCTCTTCTCCAGCCTCTCCTAATTACACGGTCTAAGCTGGTGACCCCAAGAGGACGACAGTTCTCCTTCTGTCCTCCATTACGAACTGCCTGAGAAGGACAGCCCCTCCCACGTGAGCTCACTCCCAGGACAATTAGCCTTGACTTGGTGGCAGTCAGCAGCACAGACATGACTTTCTGCAGAGGAAGGGAACTGTGCACGGTGGAGCCACCCACTGCCTACAGACAACGGCTAAACCCTCAGAACTACATTTAAGGATCCTCAAAATCTGGCCCAAAAGCTTCTGTGTAAACCAAGGATGAAAACTGAAATGTGGGTGGGTCATAACAGGGTGTGGCCTGGGACAGGAGCACAAGCAGAGAGCGGACCACAGAGCCTGGGGCAAGGGAGATTCCACGTCCCCTCGAAAGGTGTTCTGGTGAAAATGAAACATCTTGATTTTTTTTTCAATTTTTTAATTCATTTATATTTTAATTAATTAATTATTTTGAGAGAGAGTCTCACTCTGTCACCCAGGCTGGAGTGCAGTGGTGCCATCTTGGCTCATAGCAACCTCCGCCTCCCGGGTTCAAGCAATTCTCCTGCCTCAGCCTCCGGAGTAGCTGGGATTACAGGCACCTGCCACCACGTCCAGCTCATTTTTGTATTTTTAGTGGAGACGGGGTTTCACCATGTTGGCCAGGCTGGTCTTGAACTCCTGACCTCAGGTGATCCACCTGCCTCGGCCCCCCAAAGTACTGGGATTACAGGCATGAGCCACCACACCAGGCCAATTATTCAATTTTTAAATATTCAATTCAATTAATACAAATCGAATTTAATATTCTATTCAAATAATTTTGAATTGAAGAAGCATTGAAATTGTATTCAATATTACTAGAGAAAAGTGCTCAATATTATTATTTTTGAATAAAAATACTTGAATCAGTAAAAATAACTATTATTTGGCCATGTTATGAACTGTATTGTGTCCCCCCAAAATTTATATGCTGAAGTCTTAATCCCCAGTACCTCTGTTTAAAGAGGGAGTTCAGGTCAAAGGAGGGAGTATGGGCAGCGCCTACCCCAACGGGACCAGTGTCCTCCTGAGAAGAGAATGTTAGGACTCAGACACACACAGAGGGAAGGCCGTGTGAGGACGCAGGGAAGGCAGCCGTCTACGAGCCAGGAGAGAGGCCTCAAAATGAAACCAACCCTGCCAACACCTTGATCCTGGACTTCCAGCCTTGAGACTATGAGACAATACATTTCTGCTGTTTGAGCTGTGCAGTCTGTGGTATTTGTTATGGCAGCTCAAGCAAAGAAATCCAGGCCATACAAAGGAATGAAGCGCTGCAGTGATCCATGCCACAACGCAAATGCACCTCGAGGATGTTACACGAAGTGAAGGAGGCCAGGCAAGAAGGCCACATCTCGTATGACTCCACGTACACGAAATGTCCAGAACAGGCCAGTGTCCATCACCTGTTCCCATAGAGGCCCCACCTCACAACAGAGGCTCCTGAGAGGTGTCTGGCCTGGGCACTGGGAGCACAGATCCAGAGCCAGGCTCTCTGTAGTAGAATGCCAGCTCCATAGTTTCTAATCCCAGGACGCTGGTTAAGTGGCTGAACTTCTCTGTGCCTCAGTTCCTTGTCCGTGAAATGCGGGTAATGACAGCACTTACCTCACAGGGTATGGAAAGGACTAAATGACTTCATTCTAGAAAGTGCCTGGCCCTTGGTAAGCTGCTCTTAAGTGTGATCTGTTAAGGAAAGCTTTAGTTGTTGGTTGACTGTTGGTCTCTCACCCTTTAAATAGAAATTCCTTGAGCACAGGGACTCTGACTAGCTATTCCTGTTCTCCAGCATCAGGCACTGAATGAGTGAGATTCTGGTCCTCGCTGTGAGGGAAAGGAGGTGATCTCCAGGCACCCTCAGCTCCCATCTTCTGTGGATCTGGGAGCCCAGGACACATAGAAATCTCTTCCCCAGGCCATACACCATTCCTTATCTATCTGTGGGCCCAGCCCACACTGAACCTCAGTCCACACTGAACCCTGCTCCACGAGGCACGGAGTTCACCAGGCCTCCAACTTGCCTTGCAAAGGACTCATGCTTTGTAGTGGCCTCAGGGCTATTCCAATGTAGGAAACAGGTAGGGTCAAGGGTGCCGCTGGCAAGTAGGACCTACCCTATGGTGCCTTGCAGGCCTCCATCCACGTGGGCCACCCAGCCTCATTCACAGAGTTCTCCAGGTCAGCCACCTGCCCTACTCTGCACATGACACTCACACCAGCATTAACTCATTTTTGCAGGAGTAACCTCTGAAGACCAGCCCTCAAGTTTCAAGGCCCTGCCAGCCGCTCTGGCCATCTCCACACCTCCAAGGTTCCAGAGAGGAAAGTTCAAGGAAAGAGTTTTCTCTGTTGGCCCATTCAGGCCCGGGTAGGCCAGAGGTGGCCAGCAGACCTGACATCTGGAAATACAGTGGCTGCACGCAAAAGATTACAGGCCTTTCCAAAGCAAAGCTGCCGAACCCCTCGGGGACCATCTTCCTGGGCTGATGCACTGAGGACCCCTGGCCCTTGGCAGGGTCTTCTGCAGGGGAAACTAAATCCCACCAGCAAATGTCAATGCATGCAATCGTGACAGGCCACAAGTCACTGCCAATCCAAAACCTACTCTTTCACAAATCCCAGAACAGACTTTTATTAGGTATGAGCCACTAGCGTGAATGTAGCTGCCACTACTTAAGAAATTGGAATTTAAGCCCCTCTCTCCTGTATGTGGGAACATGAAGGTTTGTTTTGGCATTCAGATCTGTTTCCAATCCAACTGTTAGAAAAATCACATTAGGCAGGGGTGAACATTATACGGGAGTGTGGATCACATCTTGTTTTGCAATACCCCACAGTGTCTCACTTATATCAAGAGGAGGCTGTGAAAATCTTACAACATTCCTCTGAAAAATGAGCTTTCATTCTCCGACAAGGACATGTGAGATTTTGGTTCAGGAGACACTTGGAGAGACGACCAAGCCAGACAGCACACAGCCCTTCCTAGGAGAGATGGGAAGGTGAGCAGAGACTGGCCCAATAGCAGCAGGTCACATGCCATGAACGTGATGTGTTGGGAGGATGGGGGTTGCTCCCCACAGGGACACCTCTGCATCAAAAGTGCTGGGTAATTTGGGAGGCCGAGGCAGGCGGATCACCTGAGGTCAGGAGTTCGAGACCAGCCTGGCCAACATGGTGAAACCCTGTCTTTACTAAAAATGCAAAGTAGCCTGGCGTGGTGGCACGTGCCTGTAATCCCAGCTACCTGGGAGGCTGAGGCAGAAGAATCACTGGAACCCGGGAGGTGGAGGCTGCACTGAGCCGAGATTGCACCATTGCACTCCAGCCTGGGCGACATCCATCTCAAACAAAAGAGTGCTGGGTGAGAGGTGACTTGCTGCCTGGTTCCCCAAACAAGAAGGCTCTGCTCCCCGGTACATCCCTAACACCTTCAAACAGCCCCTTTCCACCTCATCCAGTATTTAGCAGCCCTCCTCTGTTAGTCACAGCAGTTGCCCTCCTGAGCCAGGCTTTGGAAGACCCCTGACATCGAGGTGGGCCACAGGGAACAATGACATTTTCCCACCTGCACCAGCACACGCACATCTGCCTCTGGGTCCCGGAACGCCCAGAGACACATGTGGATGGCATCAAATGGTAGGTGAGGGTACAGAGTTTTCAGCCCCAATAATGACATGCCCATAGTCAGATGTGGGTCTCGCAAAGCTGGGGTCACCAGAGACACTGCCAGTGTCTGGGACCAGCCTCCTCCTGGGCCTGCAGGTTGAGGTTTGCCCAGGACCCTGGCACTCAGTCTCCATGTGGGTAGTTGTTAGACATCAGCCTGCCGCCAGGCATGAAGCTGTGCTCCCTGCACTGCAGGCTCCCTGCACCCCGCCCATCAGCAGCAGGGCTCCCGGTGTGGCTGAGATGTCAGAGGCACCCTCTGCACAGCCTGAGATGGGACTAGTGAGGCCATGATGAACTGTAATTCAGAGAGGATGAATTTGGGTTACAGAGGTTAATATTCTGCTCATGGTGAGAATCATAAGTGATCAAAGTCAAGGGCATAGAGGATGGTCTGACATAGCCCCAGACCTGAGGCCAATCGTGAACTTCAGTGAGGGAAAGACCCAGAGGCACTACTGGAATGAATGAATTAATGAATGAATGTAAGAACATTTAAACTTAACAGCCCGAATCCTCTGGAGAGATGCTAGATGCCACTCTGAGATGGGGGAGAAGGGTGGGGAGTTGACTGTAGGGCACCAATGCATGGAAAACAGACTGGGAAGGAATTTGCTAGCCTCAGATTATGAGGGAGGCTAGAACCATAGGGATGGAAGAAGCTGGTCAAGGAGAGTGGGAAGGGGGAGGAAGGAGAGAGGGCACGGGGACCAAGAAACAGCAAGCTGCAATATGAAAATAGTGGGGGCTGAGCTAGAGAGGCTCAGGAGACAGGGTAAGTAAAAGATGGGAAGGAATCCCCATAGCATTGACAATGGTTAACATCTGTGAATGCTTTCTAGCCGTTCCAAGCACCTTCCCTATATTGAGTCTTTTAGTCCTCATGACAACTTTGGGCAATAGACACTATTACTTTTCCTATTTTTCAGATGAGAAAACTACAGCCCAGAGAGGGAAGTAACTTTGCTGAAATAAGTAAGTCTATGGTAAGTGGCAGAGAGATACGAACCAGGCAGTCGAGCTCCAAACCCATGTTCTTAAGTGCTTCATTTCACCCCTTTGGTCAGAAGGGATAGTCAATAACTGAATCAACGCATGGGACAGGGTAGGAGGCAGGATTCTCACTGAACGAGCTTGTCCAGGGTACCTGAGTGCTGCCATCCATAATATGAGGGATTAAAATACCGACCCCCTTTCACCTGCTGGGAACAGAATGTGTGTTAGTATACTCTCAACTCTCTGGGGAAATGTCTTAGTATATACACGGTTTAGTTTTTAATCTTAAACAAGATGAGGCCCCGAAGCCACTCACTCTGCCCCTGCTCCACAATGAAGGGAAAGGGAGGTAAATGGAGACTCCAGTTCAGAACAGTCTGGACACAGCTGCCCATGAGAAAGAAGGGCAGAGAAAGGAATGCCTTCTTGTTCTACGGGAAGCCACGCTCACTTACTCATGTCTTAGGGATGAAGCTTCAGAAGTTGTAGCCGGACTAATTTGCATAAATATTTCAGATTAATCTTTTTTGATATTTTAAGAATACATGGGAAGAAAATGTAAATGTAAAATATTTATAAACTTTAACTTATTTTACTTATAACTTGCCTCTTCCCATAAAAGAGCTATTTAGGTAGATATGCTATAAATGTTACTATAGACATACAAGTAGAAATCATGACTATGACAAAGAGGAGGAAGCCCATTCTAAGGACTAAACAAGCCAATATGATTTGGCATCTGTTTTTAATCAATGACTGCTTCCTGGCAGCTTGGGCAAAAAGGGAAATAAGATGTATTACAAAGCTCTTGCCATAGACAGAGGAAGTAGGCTAATCCCTCTGGCAAAACAAAGCTTTTCCTGGCACTCAATTCTGAAAGAAATTTCTCATGTGAAATCTTACATAAAAAACACAGTGACTAATAGCCTTCTGAAACATGGGAGCGTGAGACCTGATTTTTAAGGCCCAGTGGCTTCATTGGGCCTCTCTGAGAGGATCCTTGTCCTCCTGAGACACATTGTCTTAAGCTCCTAGAATTCCATTTGGTTTCCTGGCTGAGGACTGAAAAATCTCATCTCAGAACTCTACGTCTGGTATAATGGCTGTCACGGTGTTCTGTGGATAGGAAACACTCTTTGAGTCAGTACTGCTACCAAAAGAAGCAAATGGTTTGTCAAGGATCCCACCCACTACATAGAAAACAAAACCATGAGCTGTGCAGTGCCAGAGCAGCAAGGAACCTGAGGAGCCACGCGGTCCTAATGGCAACAGAGGCATCGCTATCAGGACACAGAGCCTCAAGTCAACAGCAAAGGAAACTGGGCTGGAATGTCCAGCTTTGCTGCATCAAGATCCTCAGAAATGGCTCATATAGTTCCACAGCAGTGTATCCCCAGGGCTGCTGGCCGTTGGAGAAGCAAATCTGACCTGGAGGAAAAATTCTCCAATTTAGAGTAAGGAGTCCCACAAATGATGGTCAAGCAATGAGCTCATAATCAAAGATTAACGTGGAAGAAGGCAAGGCCCTGTGGATGAGAGTCAGGAGAAACAAGAAGCAACAAAGATGTCTCTCCTCCATACCGAAATGACCAGAAATGGAATTACAGAACAGCTACACATAAAATGTTTACAGAAACATGTAATCACAAAGATAAGGAAACAAGAAGAGACTACGAGGACTGAGTAAGAAGTTTTGGGGGAAATGTAGCATCTATACACAAAAAGTATAATGGTTGAAATAAAAACATTTAATGGGTGAGTTAAATAGGAGATTAGATAAAGCTGAAGAATTAATGAACTGGAACATATATCAAATATATTACCAAGAATGCAATTTTATTAAGACATAATGTGGAAAATAAAAATGACATATGAAGAACAGAATGAGTCCCAAAAAGAAAGAATAAAAAAATTGGAGAAAAGGCATATTTAAAAGAGAATATATATAAATTTCCTATGACCAAGTTGAAGAAAAAGAATAAATTCACAACTCTAGGAAGCAAAACATCTGAAACAGGATAAATAAAAAGAAATCAACACCTATGTACAACAACAGTACCCAACATCAAGACAAAGAAAAGATCTTAAAAGTATTTATAGACTCTGGGTGCGGTGGCTCACACCAATAATCCCAGCAGTTTGGGAGGCCAAGGTGAGAGATCATTTGAGCTTAGGAGTTCGAGACCAGCCTGGCAACATGGCGAGACCCTGTCTTTATTTAAATATATATATATATATATATATATATATATATATATATATATATATATATATAAAAGAACTTAAAAATAAAAAAATAAAAATAAAAAATTAAAGAAACACATTTTACCTTTAAAGGCATGACTATTAGAATGACAACAGATTTATCAACACAAATACTAGAAGCCAGCAAATGGTAGAATATCCTCCGAGTGTTGAAAAAAAAGTATCTGACAGCCTAAAATTATGTGTCCAGTAAAACTAACAATTAGGCTTTGTGCATCTTACTATTTATTAAGTTTACTTCAATAAAAAATGAGAAAAATAGTAGAGTGTGTGTATTACAACTGATAGAAACAAATGAAAAGAAGGGAATATAAACACAAAATAAGATCATTATAAAGGTGAGAACTAGATAAGCCTAGAAAAAGTGAGACAATTGGAAATATTTTTAAAATATTTTTAAGTCCGAATAAATCAATAAATACTACATATCTAAGTAGAGTAAAATTATTAGGTAAAAGAAACAGATTGACAATTGGATGATTAAAAAATCCAACTATGTACTGTTTACAGGAGACATGCCTAACGCATAAAGGACATAGACATATTAAAAGCAAAAAGTGGCTGGGCACTGTGGCTCACACCTGTAATTCCAGCACTTTGGGAGGCTGAGGCGAGTGGATCACCTGAGGTCAGGAGTTCAAGACCATCCTGGCCAACGGTGAAACCCCATCTCTTCTAAAAAAAAAAAAAAATTAATCAGACATGGTGGTCCTTGCCTGTAATCCCAGCTACTCAGGAGGATGAGGCAGGAGAATTGTTTGAACCTGGGAGGCGGAGGTTGCAGTGAGCTGAGATCATGCCACTGCACTCCAGCCTCAGTGACAGAGTGAGATTCCATCTCAAAAATATAAATAAATAAAATAAAAGCAAAAAGCTTTAAAAACACATCTGACTAATATCAGCCAAAAAAGGAAAGAAAACAGAAAAAACACCCACACATAAAACCCCACAAAAATATCAACACTCTCAGAGAGATTTTTTAAACGCGCCTATGAAACCGGACATGGTGCTATTTTAAAAATTAGAGGATGAAAGAGATCTCGCTGCCTGAAAAGGAGGAGAAGGGAGGGATAATTTTACAGCGGAAAAATCAGACACACGTTGCCCCACCAGATGACTCAAGCTCAACATCAGCAGCGATGTCACGCTGATCTTACGTGCCTTGATACACTGTGATGAGGATACTTCACCTCTGTGACCCTCCTCCTACATCTCCATCAGCCCAGTTCAACCATGAGAAAAACATCAAACAAACCCAAGTTCAGGAACATTCTACAAAATACCTGACCAGTACTCCTCAAAACTGTCAAGGTCATCAAAAACAAAGTCTGAGAATTTATCACAGCTAAGAGGAACCCAGGAAGATATGACCACGACTGTAACGTGGCATCACACAAACTGTCATGTCAGTCTCTTAAAAAGTTAATCGTATACCTAATAAATGATCAACCATTTGACTCCAAGGAAATGAAAGCATGTGTTCATACAGAGACTGGTCCAAGAATGTTCCTAGCAGCCTTCTTTGTAATAGATAAAAAACTGGCAACAATCCACATATCTATCAATTAGCAAAAGGATAAACAAATTGTGTTAGAGACATGCAATAGAATAGTACTTGACAATAAAAAAGAACAAATTATTTATAAATGCTACACCATGGGTGAATCTTGATATAATTACGCTGAATGAAAGAAACCATATCAAGCAAAATGGTCCATACTGTATGATTACAGTTACATAGACTTCTTGGAAGCCCATAATAAGTTATAGTAACAGAAAGTTGGTAAGTGGTCACCTGGGAATGGAGAGAGGGTGGGGAGGTACAGGGAGGAAGGATTACAAAGAGGCAGGAGGCAGAGCTTACTCTGTGGAGAAGCAAAAAATAAAACGAAGAGGCAGGAAGGAACTTTTAGGGTGATGTATATGTTTATTTTCTTTACTGTAGTGATGGTTTCATGAGTGTATGTATACATATATGTCAAACTTACCAAACTGTACACTTTAAATGTTAATTTTCCATTATATTTCAATGAGACTGTTTAAAAATATGAAATTGAGGCTGAGTGTGGTAGCTTGGGCCTATAATCTCAACACTTTGGGAAGCCGAGGCGGGAGGGTCACTTAAGGCCAGGAGTTGGAGACCAGCTTAGGCAACAAAGCAAGACCCCATCTCTACAAAAAAAAAAAAAAAAAAAAAATGGTTTTAATTAGCCGAGTACTGTGGTGCCTGCCTCTAGTCCCAACTACTTGAGAGGCTGAGGTGGGAGAATCACTTGAGCCCAGGAGTTCGAGGTAGTAGTGAGCCATGATTGCACCACTGTACTCTAGGCTGGGAGGAAGAGCAAGAACCTGTCTCAAAAAACAAACCAAAACAAAAAACAACAAAACCCAGAAAAAGAAAAAAAAAAAAAAGAAATTGGATCCCTACCCCATAACATACACCAAAATCAATTCCAGGTAGATAAACAACTTAAATGTGAAAAGCAAAAACATTAAAATTTTTAGAAGAAATTATGAGAGATTCTCTCTCTAAACTTGGAGTAAGAAAATGTTCCTTAAACAAGAAACAAAAAGCACTAACCCTAAAATGAAAAAACAAACAAAAGACAGATAAGTGCAACTAGATTAAAATCAAGAACATCTGTCAAAACAGATGTCAAAAATACAATGAAGAAAGTCACAAACTGCGAAATATTTTCAATAGGTGTAACATGACTTCTCGACTAAGGATTAGTATTCACAATACATAAAGAACTCTTACAAGTCAATAGGGCCCAGTTTCTAGGTAGATGGAGTAGATATAGTTTTCCCTGTTTCTCCCACTATGCACAAATAAAAGCCCAGGGCATTATCTATAAAATATGCATATAAAAATGTAAGAAGACTCTTACCATGAAGAGAAGACAGGCCAACTAGGGACCTTGGGACCCAAGGAATGATACAGCAGTCAGTTTTCTGGCTTTTCTTTTTACCTCATATTTCCCAGACTTGGAGCTGAGGAAATGAGTAACCTGGAAACACTAAAAGGCACAGACCAAAAAAAGCCCCAACAGGCCGGGCACAGTGGCTCACGCCTGTAATCCCAGCACTTTGGGAGGCCTGGGTGGGTGAATCACCTGAGGTCAGGAGTTCGAGACCAGCCTGGTCAACATGATGAAATGTCTCTACTAAAAATACAAAAAATTAGCCAGGCATGGTGGCGGGCGTCTGCAGTCCCAGCTACTCGGGAGGCTGAGGCAGAAGAATCGCTTAGAGCCCGGGAGGTTGCAGTGAGCCAGATTGTGCCACTGCACTCCAGCCTGGGTGACAGAGAAAGGCTCTGTCTCAAAAAAAAAAAAAAAGTCCCAGCAAAAGCCTGCTCTTTCTAGCCAAAGGACCAGGGAAGGGGCATCCTGGTATGATAGAGGGCATTAGGCAACTGCCACTCTAGTCCCTCAAGAGGCTGTGCTGAGGTACGCCAACACCCCTGCTGGGGTAGCCTCAGACAAGGTTAAGTAGGGAGCTGGGCCTTCATGTGAGCAGGCCAGTGACAAGGCCCCACCTGGGGCACCACTGGAGACCAGGAACTCCCACCCAGCCAGCCCAGCACTAATCAGGGCCCTGCCTTGGGTGTCAGCAGAGGCCTTGCGGGGAGCCTGGACTTCCACCTCCACCCGCAGTGGGCGGCACCCACCCTTCCCCTACAGGGCCGTGTCAGGGAAGGACGGCTAAAACAGAAGGGCACTAAGAAGGTGTCAATAGGACAAAGACCGACAATCTGATAGGGAATAGGCAAAATACAAGCATAGAAAAGAAGATAAGAATCACGCTACCTTCTTAAGCTGCTTCCATGATCAATGATCTGTACTTAAAATCATTTTCACATATGGTAAGTAGCAAACAAGAGGTGGTATTCTTTCTTGAGATGGAGTCTCGCTCTGTCGCCCAGGCTGGAGTGCAGTGGCGTGATCTCGGCCCACTGCAAGCTCTGCCTCCCAGGTTCACGCCATTCTCCTGCCTCAGCCTCCCTAGCAGCTGGGACTACAGGCGCCCGCCACCACGCCCGGCTAATTTTTTGTATTTTTAGTAGAGACGGGGTTTCACCATGTTAGCCAGGATGGTCTCGATCTTCTGACCTTGTGATCTGCCCGCCTCGGCCTCCCAAAGTGCTGGGATTACAGGCGTGAGCCACTGCGCCCAGCCAACAAGAGTTGGTATTCTTATTTCTGCTTCACAGGATGTGACACACATACACTCTAAACACATGGAAAGATCCTCAGTGTCCTTAGTAATCAGAGAAACTCTTGTGGTTTGGATTAACCACAAAGAGACAATAATTCATAGGCCATTTACACACTAGATTGTCATGAAAGTAAGAAGTTCATCCACATCAAGTGCTGGAGAGGATGTGGAGCAACAGGAAGTCTTGTTCACTGCAAATGAACGTTAGGATGTTTGGAAAACATTTTGGAATCATATTGAAAAGCTGAACATTCACATAGTTGACGGTCCAGCAACGCC
This sequence comes from Homo sapiens, assembly GCF_000001405.40. NCBI lineage: Eukaryota > Metazoa > Chordata > Mammalia > Primates > Hominidae > Homo > Homo sapiens. The sequence goes on from NC_000005.10 coordinate 178,502,749, forward strand.
ACTTCTGGGCATGAACCCTAAGGAAACTCTCACACACGCCAGAAGACGTGCACAGAGACGTTCCCGGCAGCACTGTTTACTGTAACAAAAAACTGGAAATACCCGAAGTCCACCATCACGCCCACACGCCCCTGAACCGCAGCACACGCTGCACGCAGTGTGACAGCACAGCACCAGGACTGAATGAGTGACAGCTCCCGACCACCAGCAGCACGGGCCAACCCCACACACGATGCCAGTCACAGACGAGCACAGTCAGGAACGTTAGAAAAACCCAGAACAATGAGCTTTCTATTTTATAAAAAGGAGAGAAAGTGGAGGAAAGATAAATTCTTTAAAAACGTCAATGCTGGCCAGACACAGTGGCTCACGCCTGTAATCCCAGCACTTTGGGAGGCCGAGGCGGGTGGATCACCTGAGGTCAGAGTTCAAGACCATCCTGGCCAACATGGTGAAACTCCACGTCTGCTAAAAATACAAGAATTAGCCAAGCGTGGTGGCTGAGATAAGAGAATCACTTGAACTTGGGAGGTGGAGGTTAAAGTGAGCCGAGATTGCACCACTGCACTCCAGCCTGGGCAACGAACAGACTCTGTCTCCAAAAAAAAACAAAAGTCAATGATGTAAAAGACAAAGACAGTCTGTGAAAATGCTCCTACAGATTTAGGCAGTGCTGAGGACATATCACTGGCTCCTGTATTGCAGGCAGAAAATGCTACAAAACGGCATAATTAGGTCAATTCACTAAAGTTAGTGACCTTAATGTGGTTGTGTAAGAGAATATTCCTGTCATCACCCTGAAGTATTTAGGGGTGAGGGGCTGCACATAAGGTGACCACATCAAATGGTTCTGATACAATTATGTGCACGTATGTAAACGCATGTGTGTGCCTGTGTGTGCGAAAAGGGAGGGAGGGAGAGAGAGATAAATAATTTTAAGAATGGGGTAAAATTTAAAAAGGTGAACTTGGGTATAGGATATATGGGTGTTCTTTGTACTTTTTTAAACCTTTGCAACTTTTCTGCAAATTCTGTGAATTTGAAATTATTTTAAATAAAACATTAAAAAAAAAGAAGGGGAAGGGGCATACAAATTAAAACTCCAGGTAAGGATTCCCCAAGGCGGAGCGGGCAGAGCCCTGGGCTAGGTCCGGAGGGGAGGGTGCGGGCTTCCCTGCTGTGTGTCTCTCCTTGGGAAACAGGTCCTCGGGTGTTCATGATCACATTTTGCTTTGTGACTTGGACACTATCTTTTGTATGTTATCAAGTAATATGCTGCAAAAGATAAAAAAGAGTTCACCTCATCTCAGGAAAGACATTCCTGGCTGTACCAGGTGGAGCTCTGAATTGCTGTGGCCTGAGTTCCTGTCATCTTTTCGTCTGAGGCATAAAATGAGTCACATATCTTCTTTGTTTTTCATCCCCCACAATTTCCCATACAATCGCACCCCCGACCCCCGATTTCCGATATTCTCAGGCGGGGACAGGAGGCACTGAAGTGTAAGAGAAACTGCTAAGTTGGGCAGACAGACCAGTTAACTGCTCTGAGTTTTAAAATGCCAATTAAAAAAAAACCTGCCTTCCCTTGGTGAGAGGGTCAGCTGCTGGCTCTGGGACTCAGGAGGCCTGGCCTGGGGGTCAAGAGGCTGCCCATGGTGGGGCGGACCCTGGGAGCAGCAGCAGATGAAAACGAGAGGATGGGGACAGGCAACAGGTGGGACCCTCGAGGTCCCTGCACAGGAAAGGGCTGCGTCCTAGCCAGAGAGCAAGGTTTGAGGTGTGGGCTCAGGCACAGGCTGGGCTCTCAGTGGGTGATGGTGACAGCTGCTGCGATGTGGACTGGAAGTGGGTGTGGGGAAAGGGGAGGTGCAGCCCCCATCTGCAGGTCCTAGAGCAAAGGTCAGAAGCTCAGAAGCTGGTCCCCGCTGAGAGAAGTCAGGCATGTGTGAGGCGAAGTGCGCTGGCCAACAGTGTGTGTGCCTTGACATGCACTGCGTAGGTGAGAGAATCTGGCAAACAAGGGGGTGGCCAGCACTGCTCCAGCCACCTGCAGCCAAGTAGGAATGGCCCCGTGTTGGCAGATGTTCTGATTCTCCAAGGGAAACCAGAAATCCGAGTTTTACATGAGATCTGTGAGGATTCTGAAGTGTTGGCTCAAAGCACCTTAAAATGAGAGGCAGGCCTGACAACTACAAGATGGCCCCAATAGGGACCTCCTTACTGAGCACCATCAGCTTCCTGGGGTGGCCATAACGAAGTTCCACAGACCGGTTTAAAGCAACACATGTTGACTGTCTGGTACTTCTGGAGGCTGGAAGTGCAGGATCAAGGCATCAGAGGGGTTAATTCCTCCTCATGGCTGAGGGAGGGGTCTGGTCCATGCCTGGCTTCTGGTGGTGTGCTCGAAATCGTGGCGTTCCTTGACTTGTAAGTGGCTTACCCCATCTCCACCTTCATCTTCACTCGGTATTCTCCCAGGGTGTGTGTGTGTCTAAATTTCCCTTTTTCTTTTTTTTTTTGAGACAGAGTCTTGCTCTGTCATCCAGGCTAGAGTGCAGTGGCACGATCTCAGCTCACGGCAACCTCCACCTCCCGGGTTCAAGCGATTCTCCTGCCTCAGCCTTCTGAGTACCTGGGATTACAGGCGCACACCATCATGCCCAGCTAATTTCTTTATATTTTTTGGTAGACGGGGTTTCATCATGTTGGCCAGGCTGGTCTTAAACTCCTGACCTCAGGTGATCCGCCCACCTCAGCCTCCCAAAGTGCTGGGATTACAGATGTGAGCCACCATGCCCCTGCCTAAATTTCCCTCTTTCATGAGGCCACGGTTATATTGGATTAGGGCACGTGTTAATCACCTCATGTTAACTTGATCATGTGCAAAGGCTCTATTTCCAAATAAGGTCACATTTGCAGGTACCAGAAGTTAGGACTTCAGCATCTTTTTGAAGGGGCACAATTCAACCCATAACACGAAGGTAATCTGCAGACAAACAAAGCAGTGATGGAGGCCCAGGAGGACTATGGTGGGGACTTGGGAGGCATCCAGAATGGGCCCAGAGCCACGGACAGGGTGTCCAATCATTGGAACTGGACAAAGTGAAGGACCTGTGCCAGACAGAGCCTGTCAGTGAGGGTGCAAACACCTTCTGAGACAGCAGACCCCAAGGAGAAGACACAAAGGGCCAGGACCCACGGTGAGTCTAAGCAGACCTACAGGTAAACCAGCCCCCCAAGTCCATGGCTGTTGGGGCCTTCAGACTATAAATGAGGTTTCCCATAGGACATACCCACTCTGCACTGCAGCAGAGCCGGTGAAGCACGTGGTAGGCCGGGTCTGCTGAAGGCCGGGAGGAGGAGGGTTGAACAAACAGAGAAAAACAAAAAACAGCACAGGCCTGCTCTGGGCCGGCGCCGAATGATCATGTCACTCCTTCCCCCTGGGCTGCAGCCTGTCCTGGCAGTCAGGTCTCAGCCTGGAGGATATTTTCCAGTCCTGGGCGAGGGTGGTTTCCGGCCTACCAAATGACTGACAGTTCTTTAGGCCTCAGGCTTCCTGGGTGCCCCACACCACTGCAGCCTGCACACCAGGGCAGCAGCTGGTGCGTGCACTCCAGGGACTTGATCAGAAACCAGGGGACCCCAGGGTACATCTGCAGGCTGGCTTCAGGGGCAGCAGAAGCCATGGATATAGCCTATTCCTCCCCATCCAACCAAGGAACATCCCCCTGGGCAGGCATGAGCAAAGAGCAATGCCTGGGCCAACAAGGAACTCCGTGGGAGGTGGGAAGTAGGGTCTGGATGGGAGCAAGAGGCCTGGTGTGGGGCTGTGGTCACTCCTGACCATATTAACGCAATTATGTGTGGAATAAAGCAAGGATTTAACACTGCTGTTTCTAATTCTCACTAATGACGACAAGATTTTACTTAATTTATACTTCTTCCCTCACAATGAAAACCTTCTCAAAGATATTAATACAATTACTTATGGTCACATATGTAAATTTGTATATATCATAGTTTCAAAACAATACCATTTTTATTACCAACAATGAGACTACTGAACACAGTTTAGGTTTTATTTGTGGTTCTTTTTGTCTCTTTGTCCCACTTGGAATGCACGAATTACTGCGTTCAAAGTCACTTGAAACAATTCTCTGTGAGGTTAAGCCATCAATTTTGTATACAGGACCGTTTGTTTTCAATATTAAGAGATGATTTTTATTCGTTTTAGTTTAATTTTGTTTTCTAGTTAAAAAACACTTGCAGCGTTGCAAAGCCAGCTTATAAAACAGGGTACATTTCTGTTTGTAGCCTTGTGGTTTATTCTTCCATTGTCTCCTTTTCAAAATAAAAGCAAATATGTAGACACACTCCTATTTCCTCCTTTTTCTTATATAAAAGGCAGCATATTCTCTACACAGTTCTGCACCTGGGCTCCTCCAGTCGGCAATATCCTGACAGTAACTTTGTGGTGATAGTAGAGTCCCTCCTCATTGCCTCTTACAGCCCCACACAACACCACAGAGTGGGCGGACACTGTCCAGCCAGTCCCTTGGATGGATCCTTGAGAAACTTCCGATCTTTAGCTTTACAAAGAGTGCTGCAAGGTACAGTCCTGTTCACGTGTAAGTTCATGCTTTTGGGAAGACTCCATTTTGAATCCTCCCCCTCACTGTGAAACCGTTAGCTGGCCACTTCCCGTGCAAAGCCTCAGGTCCCTGCTCTGTAAGACGCTGATAATAATAGTTTCTAGCTCACAGCTCAAAAGGGCCTGGTGCATGGTCGACAGTCAATAAATGTTTGCTGTTTTCTTTCATCTGAGAATCTTGATTCCTCATTAGTTTAGAATTCTAGGTTGATAGTTCTTTTCTCTCAGCGTTTGAAAACTTCTTATGCCACTTCCTCTGGCCTCCATAGTTCCTGAGGAGCGATCTGCTGTCATTGACATTGCTGTCTCCCCATAAGTAAAGTGTTGCTTCTCCCTGGCTGCTTTCAAGTTTGTTTCTTTGTCATCAGATTTCGGAAAGTGGATTTGTGTTGATGTGGATTTCTTTTTGTTTATCGTATTTTGGATTTGCTCAGCTTCTTGAGAACTGTGGGTTTGTGTTTTTTGCCAAGTTTGGAACATTTCAACTATTATTTCTTCAATTCTTGTCAGCTCATCCCCTTCACCTCTCCTTCTAGCATTCTGATGACACAAATGTTAGATCGTCTATGATAGTCCCATGGGTCTCTGAGGCTCCGTTCTCTCTTTTTATTTTTTCTTCTTCTTCTTCTTCTTCTTCCTTTGGTCTATTTTCTCTCTGTTGTTCAGATTGGGAAATTTCTGTTATATCCTATCTTCCAGTTTACTGATTCTTTTCTCTGTCATCTCTGTCCTGCTGTTGATACCATCTTTTGAGTTTTTAATTTTGGTTTTTGCATTTTTCAGTTCTAAAGCCCTCATTTTGTTTGTATCTTTTCCATTTCTGTATTAAGACTCTATTCTTAATTTCTCATTTGTTCCAAACACATCTGTAATTGCTCACTGAAGCATTTTTATAATGGCTGTTTTACAGTCCTTTCCAGATAATTCCAACATCTCTGCCATCTCAGTGTTGGTGTGTGCTGTTTTTCTTTTAATCCAAGGTGAAATTTTCCTGGTTCTTGTTATGACAAGTAGTTGTTCATTGAAACTTAGACATTTTGAGTATTATAAAATATTCAGAGTCTGGATCTTGTTTAATCTATCTTAGCCAGCTCCCATGACACCACTCTGGCAGGAAAAGATGGGGGGTGCCACTGTGTTGCTGTCACGTGGGGTGGACACCAGGTTCCCCACTTGGTCTTTGTTGATATCCAAAGAAGAAAGAGGTTCTTTGGTACTGCTGTGGGGAGTTCCCGGGAGTTCTATCTCCTCACTACTGATACCATCGTGGCCGGGAGAGGCCACTCCACCAACACCATGGAGAAGGGCTGGTATTTGGTTAGGGCAGAGCAGTTCTTACCTAAACAAGTGCATCTGGCGAGGCTAGCCCTCTCCCGATCCTTTGGCTAGAGAGCAGGCTTTTGTTGTGAGGTCACCACTGTGTCATTCCTTGTGTCCCAGGGTCCCTAGCTGCCTGCCTTCTTCTCCCCATCATAACAGTCTTCTTATGTTTGTTTTATATATAATGTCCAGGGCTTTCAGTTGCACTTAGGAGGAACAGAGAAAATATTTCTCCTCTTTTTCCAGGACTGGAAGTTACTTGAAGCCTTTAAAAATATGTTTCAGATGCCAAAGTGAAACAAAAATAACACAAGGTCAAGTACCTTTCCCTCTCTGGGATTCAGTTTCCCCATCTTTAAAAAATTGGTCTAGATCCCAGCTTCTCCATGATTGGTTTACAGTAGCCCCTGAGGGCTTGTCAGAAATGCAGACTCTCAGGCACCTCCCACCCCCGCCCACCCCACCGGCATCGGACCTCCGGAATCAGAACCTGCATTCTTTTTTTTTTGTTTTTCTCGAGACAGAGTCTCACTCTGTTGCCCAGGCTGGAGTGCAGTGACGCAATCTCAGCTCACTGCAACCTCTGCCTCCTAGGTTCAAGCAATTCTCTGCCTCAGCCTCCCTAGTAGCTGGGACTACAAGCGCCCACCACCATGCCCGGCTAATTTTTTTGTATTTTTAGTAGAGACAGGGTTTCACCATCTTGGCCGGGCTGGTTTTGTACTCCTGACCTTGTGATCCATCCGCCTCGGCCTCCCAAAGTGCTGGGATTACAGGCGTGAGCCACCGTGCCCGGCCAGAACCTGCATTCTAACAAGACCCCAGCTGAGATCTGGCACATTGAAATTGAAAAACAAAGCTCCTGGTGACCTCTAAGGCCACCTCCAGCTCTGACCTTAATGATCGTGGGCTTTCCCACCTCCGCACCACTGCCAAAACACACTGACCTTCCCGCTGTGGCCACACGGCACTAACCAGCATCTAAGCACAGCACCATCCCACCACCGCCCCGCCCCAAGTGTGAAGCTTCCTCCGACCACCCAACCTGGAGGGAGCCTCTGGGCCCCTTAAACAACTGTACACTGGATCATTAGCCATTAATCATGTGCCGTCCAGGGACAGCTTGTCTGCTTTCTCTTCAGCTACTATTTAAACCATAAATCATGTGTTATTATTAAGTTTCATATCTCCTCTGAAACCCAGGATGTGACAACTCCTGTAAAGCTCACGGGGGGCTGAGATCAACATTTCCGTCCTTAGTGCTCACCATCTGGTCCTGCACGTAGGAAGTACGCAAAGCCTTCACCATTTACACCAAGAAAGTGCTCTGCACACAGCTTCCTTGTGTCTCTACAGTTAATCATGAGAAAATGCTATGATTTATGATCTTCAAAAGGATAAGTGAATCTATTATTTTCTGTTACCTTTTAAAAGAAAACATTTTTCTTCTTAATCAATACCCAGTGCTGGAGAGATTGCCCTGAAACTGGCACTCACACGCTGCAGTTAAGTTGACAGAATTAGAACACACATTGGCGCCTGGGCATGGTGGCTCACGCCTGTAATCCCTGCACTTTGGGAGGCCGAGGCGGGCGGATCACTTGAGGTCAGGAGTTCCGGACCAGCCTGGCCAACATGGTGAAACCCTGTCTCTACTAAAAATACAAAAACTAGCCAGGTGTGGTGGTGCACACCTGTAACCCCAGCTACTCAGGAGGTTGAGGCATGAGAATCACCTGAACCAGGAGGCGGAGGTTGCAGTGAGCTGAGATCGTGCCATTGTGCTCCAGCCTGGGCAACAGAATGAGACTCTGTCTCAAGCTTTAGGAGATATACCTAATGCTAAATGACGAGTTAATGGGTGCAGCACACCAGCATGGCACATGTATACGTATGTAACTAACCTGCACATTGTGTACATGTACCCTAAAACTTAAAGTACAATAATAATAAAATAAAAAATAAAAATAAAAAATAAAAAAAAGAGAAAAGAAAATAAAACACATTGGCAATGCATCAGATGGGACAAAGATGCCTCCAGGAAGCCCACTCCTGAAACTTTGTAACTTAATTAAAGAAAGGTAGAAGTTTATTCATATGAAGAGTCATATCTGTACAAGCAAAAACCTGGATATAATGTAAATGCCACATGCTGAAGCGTGGCACATCCATTTGACGGACTCCCACGGAGCCATGTGAAGTCATTAGAAAGGCTGTGTTCAAATAGAGGAAAATGCTTATTTCACCCTAGGTAAGAAAATCAGGCTATAGAATAAATATATGCTAGGATTAAAACTCATATAGGCAAACAAGAGCTAAAAAGGAAGGAACTAGAAATTATATTTTATTAAAATTATTATTGTAACGTGGGAGACTGGGTTGAATTTCCTGTTCTTGTTTTTTTCCCCCAACTTTTTCATTTTGCTAAATTTTCATCAAATTTTTAAAAACGTTCTTTAGTGACACCAAAAGAAGATTCAAAGATCACCGTGGGACATTCACTGAGGAACAGATCAAAGCCCATTTTCTTTGCAGGTTCATTCATAATTCCAGTATATGGGATCTGACAGTTCTGTGACATTTGAATTAAGAGCCCAGGTCTCAACATTGAGAAGTTCTCAGCAGCTACAGGTCAAAGGAGGTCTCCAGGCTGGAAACTACTCCTTTGAAAGAGAAGACCTTCATTCTTCACCTCCGGCTGTGAGTTGTCATTCCTTCTTTCCCCAATCCCTGCTAAGATAAGACTCTGCAGAATGCAATGGGATGCATGCTTGTTAAAAGAAGGAAAAACCTTTCAAAATACCCTTACTCTGCTTTCCACAGCACTTTGCTCATAGGGAATCTCTAGTTCAATCCCAGTTCCCGGAGTAAGCCCTGGAGGAGGTTAAACTCTGGAAGGAAGGCATGGGCTCAGGCTCACTTTACTGGTGACCATGGGTCCCCTGAGACACAGTGACCTGTAGTGGACAGCTGCCAGTCCTCCCACCAAACTGCACAGGACCCCCAAGCAGCTCCTGAGCCTCCTCCCTGAGACCATTCATCCATCTGTAAACTGAGGACATTGATGCTTTCCCCACAAGTTAAATGAGGTGGTGATTTTCAACATCCGGGAACACTGCAGTGATTAATATGTGTTAGCATCTCAGATACCACCTACCAATTTGGCAAAAAAAAAATTTTAATTGGTACCACTCATTGCCAGATGAAGATGGGCACTCTTGCACATTCCTATTGGGAGTAGAGATTTCGTAACTATCTTTTTGGACGGCCATTTGGAAATACTAAGTGTAACTGAAGCTTCAGAAACCTGAGTGTCATTTGACCCAACAATTTCCTTTCTGGGCATATGTTATACGGAAATGGGATATATGAACAAATGTGTATGAACATGGCTCTTCACTATAGTAATTATCTGTAAGCAGAAAACTGGAAACAGCCTAAGCGTCCACCTGTAGAAGACTGGTTAAACGCATTTTGGCACACTCTTTCAATGGTCTCTTAGCATTAGTGGTATTGTAGAATTGTAATTGATCACATAAAATATGGTCATGGAACGTTGGGATATCTTGTGCAATAATGTTTACTGTGTAACTCTGTTTTGTGAGAACTTTATCTATACATTGAGACAAAGATATAAATGTACCATATATCTGTGGTATCCAATTTGAGAAAGAGTGAATCATTTATGGACTTTCCTGAACCAGATATATCCCGGGTGTCCACCCTGTGGCAGGTGCAGATGTGAGTTAACATCGTCCCTGTCCAGCAAGGGAGAGAGACAGATACAGAGTGTGCCAGGGAGAAAGGGGCAACAGAAAGGTGTCAGGTGTGCCACTGTGTGCCAGGATGTCAGCAGCCCTGCTCAGATTCTAAAGTGAATCTTGAAGGTGCCCTGGGCGGCACCCTCTCACTGTGTCCCAGCTCAGAGAGAGGACAGAGCTTTGCATGAGGCTGGATAGGTGCAGAAGAGAATGACTTCCATTCTGCCGTAATCTGCAACTGCAAAAAGAGACATTCTCACGCCCCCTTCCACGCAGCCCCAAGCAGGCTTCGTCAGGACAACAGAGCACTCACTGAGTACCCGTGACCCAATCTGACAGGACTGACATCCACTCCATGCCTATTCTGCTCCTGCCACAAGCACATGCATCTTTTCATCCACACCTCCCATTTTCCAGGTCAGGGAAGTACCCAGGGTCATGCAGCTAGTAAGAGGCAGAGCTGGGATTTGAATCTAGAGGTGTGTGCCCACCACTCCACACTCACAGGCATTAACCCGTGCCCAGTGGCAAAGGGAGCTTGAGAAAGAGAAGGCCATATTCCAGGGGCTCAAGCTGCAGGGAACAGCATGCATGAGAGAGCAGATGGAGAGGAGGAAGGCTGGATGTTCCTGAGCACCTGACCACCTCATTCCAGAGGGCGCAGACCTGGGACGAGATGAGCTTCAGCTGGGCCCTGGAGGAAATGATGGCCACAGAGGTGGTGGCGATAATAGCTAACATGTGTTGAGGCTTTACTGCACTACCATGCACTGTGCCGAGTGCTGCCCCTTCTTAACTCACTTACATCCCCCCTGCAACCTACGAGGTGTGTACGTTTAGGGACTCAGTTTACAAATGATGACACTGAGGCACAGAGCTTAAGTAGCTAGCCCAAGACCACACAGCTGGAAAGCAGCAGAGAGGATCTGAACCCAGCCCCACTTTTTTAGTGGCTTAAAACAACACAGATGTATTATCTTAGAGTTCTGTAGGTCAGAAGTCCAGTACAGGTCTCACCAGGCTAAAATCAAGGTGTAGGCAGGCTATGTTTCTTCCTGGAGGCTCAGGGAGTATCTCTTTCCTGCTCATCTGGGTGGTTAGCAAAAGTCAGTTCCTGTGGGTGTAGGACTGAGGTCCCCACGTTTTTCCTGCTGTAATTGAGGGTGGATCCCAGCTCCTAGAGACCACTGCAAAAGTCGGTTCCTATGGGTGTAGGACTAAGGTCCCCATGTTTGTGCTGCAGTAATTGAGGGTGGATCCCAGCTCCTAGAGGCCACTGCTTAAGGCCCCTCCCTCCATCTTCACGGTCAGCACAGGCAGGTGGAGTCCTTCTCAGGGTGTGTCTCCTGCCTAACTTTTTCCATCATCTTCTGCTTTTTTAAAAAATTATTTTTTTTAATTGCAGTAACATATATGTAAGATTAAAATTTTGCCATCTTACCCATTTATAATTGTCCGGGTCAATGGCATTAAGCACATTCACGTTGTTTTGCCACCATCACCACCATCCATCCATCCACCCACAGAACTTCTTCATGTTGCAAAACTGAAACCTTGTCCCCATTAAGCAGTAACTCCCCACTTTCTCCTCCCCCAGCCCCTGGCACCCACCATTCCACTTTCTGTCTTGATGAATTTGATGGCTCTGGGTACTTCATATAAATGGACTCAGGCTGTATTTGTCCTTCTGCGTCTGGCTTATTTCACTCAGCATGATGTCCTCAAGGTCCATCCATGCTGGAACATGTGTCAGAATCTCCTTCCTTTTTAAGGCTGACACTATTCCATTGTCTGAATATCCTGTAGCACAGACCGCTTATCCCTTCTTCCATCAACGGACACTTGGGCTGCTCCCACGTCTTGGCGACTGTGATTAGGGCTGCTGTGAACATGGGAACCTCTTTCCAAGCCCCTGCTTTCAACTGTTTGGAGTATATCCCCAACAGTGGGATTGCTGGATCATATGATAGTTCCATTTATCATTTTGTGAGGATCCTCCATACTGTCTTCCATAGTGGCTGCTCCATTTTGTATGTGGAAGCCCAGCAATCTGAATCCACAACCTGTGCCCTAAAATTCACCATACTTGGTCCACATCCTGAAGCCACAGGGCCTGGGGCCACAAAGATGAACGGAACTGGGGCTCAGAGCCCAGGGGGGAAGCTGACACAGCAGCCTGCTGCCCCGACAATGCACAAAGGGGCCACTTTGGGACTTCAGGGGTGTGGGCAGCACAGAAAAATCTAAATTTGTAACTGACATGTATGGGAGGAAAAATACCACATTCCAGGAACTAGTCACGTTTTCCCAGGCTCAGAATCCCAATTCTTCATAGGGCCCAAGTTACTCTCATCCACAAATACAAAGCACTGGCAAGAAATACAAATTATGATGCGGCATTTTCAGAGCTTGTCTTAAAATTCAGAACAAAGCTCAGTAAAGGGACCAAGTCTCGTTTGTGTTTTCTGCTGAGGTTCCAACTTATATTTAGAGCTATTTCCCTCCAGAGTCCAGTGAAAGACAAGTCACTCTCTTCGAAGCAAACTTTTCCACATGCTCAAGAAAGTTGACGCAGGTTGGAATGGATCCCACCCAAGAGCCATGTGCTGTGCATGCTTCTGGGAGGCAGCTGAGCTGCAGATGGGGAGGAGGGCACTGTGCCAGGCTCAGATCCCACCCAGCCCTCCTGGGGACATCTGCTACAGAGGACTTTCCCTCTGGAAGCCACCCTGCCCAGGGCCTCCTCTGCTCCTCTGCACTGCCCCATCTGCAGCAGCCTCCAGCCTCCCTCCCTGCAGCCTCCATGCCCAGGCAGTTTCCTTCTGCAGTCTGCCTTCCCCAGGAAGCGGTGAGTGTTGGGTGTGAGCCTGTCCTTGTGCTGGGTAGGGTCCGCCCAGGGGCAGCACCAGAACAGAATCACTGCAGAGGTTTCCACGGGGTGGAAGCCACTAACCAGCCAGAGTAGGGACATGTCAGGTCCACAAACGCTCCCTGGCCCTCGAGTGCCTGAAATCATTCCTGCTCTTGCCCATCCCACTCCAGGCTCCTCAGGCCTCCGACCTACCTGCCCATCCTGGTGCACTCAGCACCCCTCCTTCTTCACCCAGGAAAACAGAAGGCCTTTGGGCAACCTTCTCAGCCTCTAATACCTACCTTTCCTTCAGCTCGGACCCCCGCTCCCCGCCTCTGCTGGACCCTAGGTCTACATCTGTCCCGGCTCTGCGGCTACAGAGCCCTCAGCTTCCTGCACACTCAGGGCTTCTCCCTCTTGAACCTGCCACCTGCATCGTGCCCCTTTCCTCCACAGCCCACTCGCCTGCTCTCCTTCCCTTCCACAGCTCCCACCCACACTGAACCCACTCCCCCAGTAACGCACCAAGTGTTCACAGGAGCTCTCAGCTGCTGGATGGAGTTGGACCCGGTCCAGTGCTCGGGGTCACCCGGGCCTTCGCCACCCTGCCAGACGCCTCTGCACGCCCTTCCCTTGTCTTGGTGGGTTCCTCAGGCTCAGTTCCAGAGTTTCTCTTTTTGTGTCTCTTTCTGTCTCTGCAGAGCTGTCTGGAGGCCTCACCTCCCTGGCAGATCCTGAGCTTCAGAACCAAATACTCCACGGCACCCTGGGCGTTCCACCTGCCCCGTCCTCGTCCTCATTTCCACCACCCTACCCCTCTTCCCGTGCTTCAGGGCCTCCCAGCCCAGTCTCTGAGAAACCTCCCTCACTGTTTGCCCCTCTCCCCTCTGTTGTCTAATGACACCCAAACACCTGCAGAAGAATCGCCCAGCTCCTGCGTCTCTGGTACCCAGAGGCTGAGCAGGCTGGCCCTCGCCCACAGCCCCACTGAGGCCTGGCCTCCTAACATCCCACCCGCACCCAGCTCAGATGCCAACGTGCCCAAAGGCGCTGCCCGATGACGGCTCTCTGCCAGATCTCTCTGGTTTTAAGTTCACCTCTCCTGACCACAGTGTGAAAGGACAGAGGCTCTGAGCACCGGTGTGCCTCCTCCCCTCCTCTCCGGCATTCCCTCCAAGCATCCCTGACCTGTCCCCTCCCCAGCCCCCTGCCACCACCAGGCATAAACTCAACCTTCTAACCGTGCTGAAATCTTATTTCCTGGAACGCGCCAGGCCCTGTCTCTTTCCACGTACTGTTTGGTCTGACTAGAGAAGATGTGCATTTATCCACTTGCCAATTCCTGCCTTTTCCTTTCTTAACTCAGGTGTTGCTTCCCTTTGGAAGCTTTCTGCCTCCTCAGGCCTGGCGGGTGCCCCTCCTAGTCTCCCCCAGGCTCCCCAGATGCTCCTTGAGGGACCGTGCCCACCTTGTCCACCCCATGATCCCTGCACCTCACACCTATCCTGAAGCAAACTAATCAGTAGTTAAATAAGAGGAGGAGGGTACATTACGGGCTGTGTGTGCGACCAGTAGCTGGTGGGAGCGGGCTTCCTGCGCAGAAAGCTGCAATATCTGTGGCTTTGTGTGTGGAAAGCGCCTGTCACTGAGGTGGGCATGCCTCCACATCAACACACTGGGCCAGGACTCAGTGGGGACGGGGCCTCCAGGCTGCGGGGTGCTGCCACAACCACATCCATCCTCCCATCCATCCGCCACCTGCCCACAGCCAAGAAACAGACAGAAGTGCCCAGCAAGGCATGGTGAGCCATACCAAGGAACTGCAAGCCCCTAACAGCTGTCAGTCTTATTCCACTATTGTATTCCCAATGTCTAGAACAGTGCCTGGCAAACATGTGGCTTAACAAAGATTTGTTAAAGGGATGGATAAGTGGATAAAAGCAAACCTGTATCCCTAACTGGCGTGTGAGAAATGAAAAAAGCAATAGCCCCACACCAAAGGCACAGTGGAAGGGCTTAGAATGCTCCCCTGAGATCTGTCTATACACGGGCACTGTGGAGGGAGAGGGCCCATGTCCCTGTCACTAACAGTGCTAGGCAGTGTGCAGGAAGGATGCTAACAGGAGAGTCTGTTAAATCCAACCTAATGACACCTTAGCCTCACGACAGGTTCCCTTCTCTCCCTCAACTCTCTCTTAGGGCTCAGACTCTCGGTGACAGCAGTTTTTTTTTTGTTTTTTTTTTTGAGATGGAGTCTCACTCTGTCGCCCAGTCTGGAATGCAGTGGCATGATCTCAGCTCACTGCAACCTCCAACTCCCTGGTTCAAGCGATCCTTCTGCCTCAGCCTCCCAAGTAGCTGGGATTACAGGCACGTGCCACCACGCCAAGCTAATTTTTGTATGTTTAGTAGAGACGGGGTTTCACCATGTTAGCCAGGATGGTCTCGATCTCCTGACCTCGTGATCCGCCCGCCTCAGCCTCGCAAAGTGCTGGGATTACAGGCGTGAGCCGCCGTGCCTGGCCAGCAACAGCGGTTCTTTTTTTTTTTTTTTTTTTTTTTTTTTTTAATTTATTTTTTTATTGATAATTCTTGGGTGTTTCTCACAGAGGGGGATTTGGCAGGGTCATGGGACAATAGTGGAGGGAATGTCAGCAGATAAACAAGTGAACAAAGATCTCTGGTTTTCCTAGGCAGAGGACCCTGCGGCCTTCCGCAGTGTTTGTGTCCCTGATTACTTGAGATTAGGGATTGGTGATGACTCTTAAGGAGCATGCTGCCTTCAAGCATCTGTTTAACAAAGCACATCTTGCACCGCCCTTAATCCATTTAACCCTGAGTGGACACAGCACATGTTTCAGAGAGCACGGGGTTGGGGGTAAGGTCACAGATCAACAGGATCCCAAGGCAGAGGAATTTTTCTTAGTGCAGAACAAAATGAAAAGTCTCCCATGTCTACTTCTTTCTACACAGACACGGCAACCATCCGATTTCTCAATCTTTTCCCCACCTTTCCCGCCTTTCTATTCCACAAAGCAGCCATTGTCATCCTGGCCCGTTCTCAATGAGCTGTTGGGCACACCTCCCAGACGGGGTGGTGGC
Organism: Homo sapiens; assembly: GCF_000001405.40. Lineage (NCBI taxonomy): Eukaryota > Metazoa > Chordata > Mammalia > Primates > Hominidae > Homo > Homo sapiens. Next base: position 178,518,437 of record NC_000005.10, read on the forward strand.
CGGGCAGAGGGGCTCCTCACTTCCCAGTAGGGGCGGCCGGGCAGAGGCGCCCCTCACCTCCCGGACGGGGTGGCTGGCCGGGCAGAGGGGCTCCTCACTTCTCAGACGGGGCGGCCGGGCAGAGACGCTCCTCACCTCCCAGATGGGGCGGCGGGGCAGAGGCGCTCCTCACATCTCAGACGATGGGCGGCCGGGCAGAGACGCTCCTCACTTCCTAGATGGGATGGCGGCCGGGCGGAGACGCTCCTCACATCCCAGACGATGGGCGGCCAGGCAGAGACACTCCTCACTTCCCAGACGGGGTGGCAGCCGGGCAGAGGCTGCAATCTCGGCACTTTGGGAGGCCAAGGCAGGCGGCTGCTCCTTGCCCTCGGGCCCCGCGGGGCCCGTCCGCTCCTCCAGCCGCTGCCTCCCGGGCGGCGCTCGCCGGCGCGGCGGCAAAGACTGAGACAGCTCCGCTGCCCGCTGAACTCCATCCTCCCGGCGGTCGGGCGGCGGCGGCTGCGGTCGGTCGCGGCAGCGGCTCCGCTTCATATCTGCAGCTGGGGCCCGCGGGCGTCAGCGCCGCGACTGTCCCGGCTCCGCACTGCCCCGGGCCGCAGCGCAGCCGCGCCAACCACCACCCGCGGCCACCATGGCCGGACGGGCTCCCTAAGCCACCGACCCCAGCCCGCGGCGCCTTCGAGCCTTCTCAACAGCAGTTCTTTCTGCTGAACAGCATCTTGTAGTCTGCAGTCCTTTTCACCAATTTTATCATCTTCCCTCTCTGCCCGCAGCCCCATTTTGTAGATGAGGAAACTGTGGGCTCAGGGGCAGAACGTTGTCAGCACAGAGCCCAGGCCTCAGACCGGGAGGCCAGTGCCCTGTCTACCTTCACAGGCCATAAAGCCAATGGCTGCTGCAAACCCAGCTGCTGTGGGGTGTGCAGACTCACAAGTCTCCCATGACCAGGCACACAATGTGCGTCCATGAAGGGTCCAGGAGCAATACAGCAGGGAGTATCAGGCTGTGGGGAACAAGTGGCCGCGCCCTGCACAATGCCACACAATTCTGACAGGGACTGCCAGGTGGAAAACTGGGCCCTGTGTGGTCTGATCTCCCAGTTTTTCCAAGAGAAGCCAGAAATCATGATTTTAAAATAAATTTTCCTGATTTTTGAGACATTTTCCTAGCTGGATGCATCTCACAGGTGTCAGTTTGCAAACCCTTGTCTGCCTGTGTTAAAGGATGTTTGTCTCACTGGTCACTGGTGCTGCCCATCACTGTATCTAAGAGCCTAGCACAGGACATAGCAGCCACCAGGCCTGTGATAAATATTGTCTGGTGTAGTGGTTATTGGTTGAATGAATGAATGATGTATAGATGGATGCATGGGAGGATAGATGGACAGATAGATGGAGGATGGTCAGATGGATAGAGAGTTGGGTGAATAGATGGTCAGATGATGGACAGATGCATGGGTAGATGGATGGATGAATGGTCAGATGGACAGATGGTTGGATGAAAGGATGATGGATAGATGGACAGATGCATGGGTGGACAGATGAAGCATAGATGGAAGATGGTCAGATGGATAGAGAGTTGGGTGAATGGATGGTCAGATGATGGACAGATGCATGGGTGGATGGATGGATGGATGGATAGATGGAGGATGGTTAGATGGATAGATGGTCTGATAAATGGATGGATGGATGCATCTGAATGGTTGGACAGATGCATGTTGGATGGTCAGACGGGTGAATGCATCGAAGGATGGATGGATGGCTGGTAAGGAAGGAGGGAAGACTGGGAAGGAATCAGTGTGTGACTAGTAAGATTGGACAGTCCTTGACTTTGCTGCCAGAGCAGAGGCTCGGTGGAGGTAGCCAGTCATTGGTTCCCCAACTGTACTGCAGACAGATCTATCAGTTCCTCCAAGACCCCTTCGGAACTGCACCAACACCTCATACGACTCCTACATGTTCTCCTCATCACTGAAGAACTGATACGGAAGCTACTAAGGCCAAAGGACAAAAGCTAGGCCATTTTGGACCAGGGCTCAGGGCTCTGTCGATGTGTTTGGGAAGAAAGCACCTGTGAAACATCTCTCAATGTGACAAAGCCATGAACCAGGTTGCCCCATCCATGATCAATGAGACAAAGCAGACAGGAGGGGAGCACATGTGTTCAGAAGTGAGGTGGACCAGGGTTCCAATTTCAGCCCAGCCACATATTAGCTATGTGACCTTGAGCAAATCCCTTCTCCTTAAGTGAAGCTTAAGTGTTTCCATCTGTAAAATGAGGTCAGGCGATCCACTTCCTACCATGCTGGTGAGGATTCAATGAGATAACACTCTGTGCACGACCCCAGCATACAGCCTGGTTTATAGCAAACAATCCATCAATGTTAGTTTAATTTCATTCCATTCAGTTGTCCAGACGGTATTAGGAAACAAAGAATTTATAGGAATAATTTAGAGGAAGTCACAGTCCTGTGTCACTAAACAACAGGGTTGTATTCTGACAAATGTGTCCTTAGGTGATTTTGTCATTGTGTGAACTTCATAGCATGTACTTACACAAACCTAGGTGGCAGAGCCTACTACACACTGGGCTACGTGGTGTAGCCTATTGCCCCCAGGCTACAAAACCAGCACAGCTTGTCACTGTCCTGAATACCATAGATGATTGCAACACAGTGGTGAAAGTATTTATATATCTAAACATACCTAAACATATAAATATGGTATTATAATCTTACGGGACCACCATCATATATGTGGTACATCGTTGACTGAAATGTGGTTATGGGGCACATGACTTTATTACATTTACTCGCTAAAACTATTTAAAGCTGGCCGGGCGCGGTGGCTCACACCTGTAATCCCAGCACTTTGGGAGGCCAAGGCAGGTGGATCACGAGGTCAGGAGATGGAGACCATCCTGGCTAACACGCTGAAACCCCGTCTCTTCTAAAAATACAAAAAATTAGCCGGGCGTGGTGGCAGGCGCCTGTATTCCCAGCTACTCGGGAGGCCGAGGCAGGAGAATGGTGTGAACCCAGCAGGCGGAGCTTGCAGTGAGCCGAGATGGCGCCATTGCACTCCAGCCTGGGTGACAGAGCAAGACTCCATCTCAAAAAAAAAAAAAAAAAAACTATTTAAAGCCAACATTTAAGAATGAGGTAAACTGTGCATCAATTGATGGATGGATAAACAAAATGTGGTCTAACCATGCAATGGAATATTATTCAGCCATGAAAAGGAATGAAGCACTGATGGATGCTACAACATGGATGAACCCTGAAGTCCTTATGCTAAGTGAAAGTCAGAAACAAATGGCTACTTATTTTATGATTCAATGTATATGAAATATCTAGTCTAGGCACAGTCACAGAGACAAAGCAGTTAAGAAGTTACCAGTGGCTGGGGTCAGGGGTATAAAGGGAGTTATTTATTAATGGTTACACAGTTTCTGTTTGGAGTTATGGAAAATTTTGGCAATACGTAGTGGTGATGGTAGCACAACATATTGGGGATGTAATTCATGCCACCAAATTGTACCCTTCAAATGGCTAGCATGGTAATCTTTATGTTATGTATTTTTTACCACAACAACAAAAAAATTTCAAACAAACCAGAAAAAGAATAAGGTCTTAGCAAAGGAAGGATTCTTCCAGTCTGTCTAAAAAAAGAAAGAACTTTGTGCCATATAAACATTAAAAACTTTCCGAGTTAACTGGATGAAGGTGTCTTTTGCCCCTTGAGACCTAAAACGTGTTTTCGGTTTATGAAATGAAATTTGGAAACGACCTGGATGTTTTGCTTTATGTAATTTGGGGGCAGGAGAGAGGAAAAAGAGAAAAACTAACCAGGCGAGTTACTGCCTTTGGAAAACAACCAACCTTAGAATCGTGTTTTGGTCCTCTCAAATGAAGACATACATATTTAGCCCACGTGAGTCCCAGTCCGCACAGACATCACAGCAACAGGAGAAGTCATCTACCACACCCTAGGACCGGGGAATAACTCGCCACGCTTCCCCATTCAGCCAAGAGATTGTTCAAAAGCTGCACAAATGCTAACCCCAGTCAACCATCCACAGCTGCCCTCAGCCCACAACTGTGCCTGCCCGAGATTGTGACGAGCCGGTGGTCAGCACATGTAATGAAGCAAGGGGGTCACTGGAGAAAGAATGTACCCAAGGGCAGGCAATGCGCTTGTATCTGAGGACAACGGGGACAGTGGTGGAGGGCACGATAGACGCGCTGTCTGTGATCCTCCCACAGTCTGATGACAGGACCAACACCAAAAGATGTGATCCAAGAAAGCGCTAAGCACCCATACAAGAGCACTGCCCAGGACCAGACGTGGCCTACGGGGACTGCCAGTGAGCTCTGCCCGAGGGCATCCTTCCCATTCAAGTCTCCCCCCAGTCTCTGATAAGAAGATCCACCTTGATGCTATGGACCCCAAGCGTGGCTTTATGGTACAATTTTAACACAGAGATCATTTCGGGAATGAGTTGGGCATCCCCTGCCCTATACTCTATTTCTCTGGCCCAGCCTCCCATCTATGTCCAGAACTGAATGTAAAAAAACTCCAGCCAGGCGTGGTAGCTCATGCCTGTAATCCCAGCACTTTGGGAGGCTGAGGCAGGCAGATCACCTGAGGTCAGGAGTTCAAGACCAGCCTGACCAACATGATGAAACTCTGTCTCTATTTAAAAATATATATATATATATATACATATATATATATATACACATATATATATATATATATATAGAGAGAGAGAGAGAGAGAGAGAGACAGAGGGAGAGACAGAGAGAGAGAGAGAGACAGAGAGAGAGAGAGAGAGAGAGCGCTAGGTGTGGTGGTGCGCGCCCGTAATCCTAGCTATTTGGGAGGCTGAAGCACGAGAATCGCTTGAACCTGGGAGGAGGAGGTTGCAGTGAGCTGAGACTGCTCCACTGCACTCCAGCCTGGGCAACAAGAACGAAACTCTGTCTCAAAAAAAAAAAAAAAAAAAAAAGAAAAAGAAAGAGAAACCTCTATGATGTGCACAAGTTCTGAGCAATCTACACGGCCTGGAGTTGAAGACACGTCACTGGGAACCGACGGGCCAGGAGCACCTCCAAAGCTCTGCGCCTGTCTAGCCACAGATGGAAATCTTCATCTCTGTGTCCATGGAAGCTCGAGGATGGTGCTTTCCTGTCATTTCCTTTCATTTATTGCTTTATCAGTGGCCGTAAGTGTTTCCATCACCAACCGAACAGCATATGTAAACCTGCACACTCTGAAAAAAATTCATTGAAACCCGGAATGATGAACAATTGGAAGGAGACTCTGCTCAATGCAGGCAACGCACATTCCAGATTCTGACATCCTTGTTCTCCCAAGAATCACTGCTGGGACGCAGCCACAACACAACCTGAGCTGTTACACGGGGAGAGGCAAGTTACACTACCTGGGCTCTGAACACGGCTGTCACTCACTGCAACCACTATTTCCTGAGACCTCTCCTATCTACGACCCTTCCTTTTCATGATCTCTGACAAGGACTTCAAAAATACAAACCTCCACAGGAATGAGCGTCTGCGGGGACACTGGTTCTGTGTCATACGGGAGGGTCTCTGGTGTATCAGCCAGGACCTTTATCTCCAAGGGTCAGAACCTGGGTCACGCTAGCTTAAATAACAAAGAGAACGTACTGCCCCTCTTGACTGAAAAATCCAGGAAGATTCAGGTCTGGCTGGATCCAGGCACTCCAATAACATCACCAGGGCTCTCTCCTTCCCCATCTGTCAGCTCTGTTTCCTCCATGTTGGCTTCATTCCCAGGGGAGCCCTCTTCACACTGTGGCCCCCCGCAGCTCCAGACCACATCCTGCCCGCTCTCCCCAGTGGAAAGAGACCCTCTCTAGTTCAGAAGTTCCAGGAAAATCCTAGAATCTGTCTCTTATGAGAATAACTGGGTCACATGGGTATCAGCAGAGCCTGGTGGTGGGGTCAGCCCATCCCAAGATACATAGCTTGGGAATGGGGTAGGGGCTTTACCCAAAGGGAAATCAGGGAACTGTCACAGAAAGGATGGGGGATGGATGTATCCAGAAAAAAATAACCCATGCTCAGCACAGGCAAAGGTCCTGGAAATGGTCGGGCATTGACCTGACCAGCTCTGGCCTGTACCAGCCTCCTCCCCCATGGACCACCTGGCCACACCTGCCCATTCTCCTGCAGACCTGGCCAACTTCCAGGCCACGCTGACCCGAGGCAGGGCTGGCTCTTGCCCTGCTGCCTGCCTGACGCCTCCTATGCCCCTGAAGCAGGGCCTTCTTTTTTCATAAGGGCCCCTGTCTAGAGCCCTAACAGGCCATGTGGCTCCACAACAGACCCACAGATCACTCACTCACTCACACACTCGCTCACTCACTCACGCAGCAATGCAGTCATTCATTCATTCAACAGCTGTCTGGGAGCCCAGCACTCTGCGGGACTCCATTTACACACGCACCACCCACCTAAACTGCGTAACTCTTTATGCTACGTGTTTTCATTTTAAGATGAAGAAAGAAACTAGGGCAACAAGAGGTTAAATAACTCGGCTAAGCTCACATGGCTGGTAAGAAATGGCGACACAGCGCGCAGACCCCAGGACCCGAAGGCTAAGCTCACATGGCTGGTAAGAAATGGCGACACAGCGCGCAGACCCCAGGACCCGAAGGCTAAGCTCACATGGCTGGTAAGAAATGGCGACACAGCGCGCAGACCCCGGGACCCGAAGGCTAAGCTCACATGGCTGGTAAGAAATGGCGACACAGCGCGCAGACCCCAGGACCCGAAGGCTAAGCTCACATGGCTGGTAAGAAATGGCGACACAGCGCGCAGACCCCAGGACCCGAAGGCTAAGCTCACATGGCTGGTAAGAAATGGCGACACAGCGCGCAGACCCCGGGACCCGAAGGCTAAGCTCACATGGCTGGTAAGAAATGGCGACACAGCGCGCAGACCCCAGGACCCGAAGGCTAAGCTCACATGGCTGGTAAGAAATGGCGACACAGCGCGCAGACCCCGGGACCCGAAGGCTAAGCTCACATGGCTGGTAAGAAATGGCGACACAGCGCGCAGACCCCGGGACCCGAAGGCTAAGCTCACATGGCTGGTAAGAAATGGCGACACAGCGCGCAGACCCCGGGACCCGAAGGCTAAGCTCACATGGCTGGTAAGAAATGGCGACACAGCGCGCAGACCCCAGGACCCGAAGGCTAAGCTCACATGGCTGGTAAGAAATGGCGACACAGCGCGCAGACCCCAGGACCCGAAGGCTTTATCTAAAACACTCAGTGCAAAATGGAAAAAGATAATGTGTCCAAGGCTCATAGGAAAAACTTCATTAACATGAAAAATGAAGATCAGGTAAAATGTATCCACAGGCAAAGCACGGCCTAGGCCAGAAGCACTGGAGAAGAGCCCAAAACTCTTTACACCTCATCAGCTGCCTTAGGAACACAGGCCTGACCTCAAGACCTCCATATACCTCTAGAGGGAAAGCAAACTCATACAAACTTGAAGATGGTAACAGCTTGAGGTAGTCAGCACTGCACAGGCAGGCCCAGCGGAGGCGAGTGTCCTCGGAGTGCTGGGAAGGAAGAAAGCACAAGGGCTGCAGTAACCCAAGAGGGCTTCCTGAAGGAGAGAGGGCAGAGGGCCAGGGAATGAGCAGGAAAGGCATGTGGGAGAGAGTAGGCCCTGGGGTCGACTCCTGTGGGTTTTGCCTTTCCAAAATCCTTCCCATACTTCCAGTAGTACCCTTCTGGCTGCCCCGGGAACTGCCCCTTTGCCTGGATCAGCCCATGTGGGTTTGCAGGGAGCTGACTCTATCCCCTGACCTGGGGGGCCAAGCAAAGCCCCACACCCTCTCAGTTACAGTGACAGGCTCACGGGACATGTAGCTGTGGCTGGACCAGGGAACGTCCTCTATGGGACTCTGCTGGCATGCTGAGCGAGAAGGACATGGGCCTGGTGGGGAAGTGTTTGCCTGAGAATGAGGCCAACACACAGGACTGCAGAACCCAGAGGCGAGCAAGCCCACCAGGAGGGCATCTGCGGCTCCTGAAACCAGTAAACTCCAGAGCCCAGTAAATTCTCTTTGAACTGGCTGAAGCCAGTTTGAGTCATGTTTCTGTCATCTGCAATAAAAAGAGTCTGATGCTGCCGTGGAGCTTCTTGGGGGAAGAGAGGGGCTAGCGAGTCTACAATGGGGTGTTTCCACTGCTGGGCCAAGGATAGAGGGGGTTCAGGCAAGCCACAAAGGACCTGAGCCCCGAATGTGGATTCAAACTCAGACTACAGCCCCCAGTGTTCCCTCAGCCTCACTCCTCTGCTATCCAGACATGGGGCTCCATAAATGGCAGCTGTAAGGGTGAAAGAATGAGTCCATCGCACGCTCCTGCACTCCTGTTTATTCCATTAACTGCCGTATGAAACTGTTCCTATCCTTACTCATTCAAACCGCTGCCTTCCAAAAAGACGGCCTCCTTTGTCCTAGCACCCCAGGGTGCCGTGGTAGGCAGGAGAGGGCCCAGGCCAATTACAGCCAGGACGGGGAGGGGGAAGCTGAGTCCGGAAGCCAAGCCACATCTTGCAGGGCACTTGGTGTTGAAGGGGGTCAAATCCAAGTCAAAAAAGGGGGAAGTTGGACCCCAGAAGTGGAGCCCAGATGGGTGTGGACAAGCAGGGCTCAGGGAGGCAGCAAGGCGGGGGGCCCTCGGTGAGGAGAGTGGGGGACAGCACCAGGCATGCTGGCAGCAAAAGTGCTGGACCTGGGGCTGGTCTGAGCTGACTGACACTCACCCTCGCCCTGAGAGCTCTCCCTTCTGTGCTGGGGTGAAGGAGCCGGGGTCTAGATGTTTCCACACCGTCCCTGCAGCCTCCTGACTTTCTATGTGAAGAGCCTTGGCCTTTTCCATCTGTCTGTCCTGAGATCAGCGGTTGACCCCCTCATCTCTCTTCCCTGGGGCTCTGCCAGCTCCAAGGGGCCTCCAGGCACCCCGCAGCCTTCTAAGAGAACGTCTCCTGCTCAGGTTCTATTTCCAGGAAGCGGCTGGCCCGGGTGGATGGTGTGTCCCAAGCTTGCCTGGGCACAGCACCACGTACAAACTGTCCTCATGACTCGGTTACCAACGAGGGGCCAGGGGAGGGGTGGCCTCTGCCAAGACCTGGAGACAACTGCACATCCCCAGTGGGGCACAACCTCAGTCAGCCCTGAGTGCATGCTGTGTGTGCTCCCGGGGACCCCACTGCCTTCCACTACAAGCTGCCACTCAGACGCCCCTGCCCACGCCCCTGCCAGGCTCCCTGCAGCCTGGATACTGGAAACCTGGCGGAAGCCTGATGGGCTTGGCCCCAGGCAAATGCAGCGTCTTGTTCCTCAGATACAGCCCGAAATGGAAAATGCCAAGATAAAACCTTTCCAGGATTTCTTGGCATGAAATAGCTCCCCACATTCACACACACAAAAGGATGACTTAAGTGTACATGAATCAGAAACACCTGGACACTTTTCTTAAAATAAAACCGAATTTCACATTCAAGGGGAAGGCCTAGAACACATTTGGCATTTTGGCAAATACCGGGGCTTTTGGCTGTGACATCTGTGCACCTCAGATGCGGTTCCTGCTCCCTGGGCACTGGGACTGCCCCAGTCCCCGCCTCTGGCCTCCTGCCACCTGTTCTACCCCTCAGCTTGCTCACCTCCTGGAAACCCTTGCCCCTCACCTGTGACAAGTCCTGGCTTAAATATTAGCCCTCATTAAAGCTCTTCCTCACCTAAGCCCACTCACGATCACTCATTCACCCTTTCACCATCTCACACACTCCCTACAGGGGAGACCTGTGGTGGTTTCTGCTGTCTCCGCTGCCCCCTTTTCTGCTAATGACAGCCTCATTTTTCTCCCTGCCTTCCCTCATCCCAGGTCACAGGTTTCAGTGGGACTGACCCCACTCCCCACTCGCTTCAGGGATGGGCACACATCTCTGGGCTGGTCTTCACTCCCTGGCCACAGTGATGAGTTCCAAGATGAGCAAGTGACTTGCACTCATTAAATGTGAGTCAAGGCCGGGCGCAGTGGCTCACGCCTGTAATCCCAGCACTTTGGGAGGCCGAGGCGGGTGGGTCACAAGGTCAGAGTTTGAGACCAGCCTGACCAACATGGAGAAACCCCATCTCTACTAAAAATACAAAATTAGCAGGGCATAGTGGCACGTGCCTGTAATCCCAGATACTCGGGAGGTTGAGGCAGGAGAATTGCCTGAACCCAGGAGGCGGAGGTTCCGACGCGCTGAGATCGCGCCATTGCACTCCAGCCTGGGCAACAAGAGTGAAACTCCATCTCAATAAAACAAGTGAGTCCATCCCTCAATGCTTGCACTTCTCCCGAAATGAAGGGAAGAGGTGTTTTGTGTCCACTGGGATTTCTGATCCCAGAGTTCTTGGCAGCTGTCTTGCCACTGCTTAGAGACGGTGTATCAGTTACCTATCACCTCAAAACAACATGACCCAAAATTCAGTGGCCTAAAGCATCAATGTATTGTTTCTCAGGATTCTATGGCCTCGCAGGGCTGGGCGGTTCTGCTCCGCAGAGCTACGGCTGAGGTCCCTCGCGGCTGTTCTCCTTAGGGAGTTATCTAAGATGTCTGGAATGTCTGATATGGCCTTGTCGTCCAAGGACTCTCTCCATGTGGCGTCTCTTCAGCCGACAGTCTAGCCCTGGGCTTCTTTACGTCTGGGTGGCTGGATTCCGTGAGGATGTGTTGCAAGAGGACAACCATAATGAGCAAGCGGCTCCTCCAGCCTCTACTTGTATCACACTTGCTAGTGTCCAGTTGGCCCAGACAAATCACAGTGAAGCCCAGAGTCAGTGTGGGAGGGAACTGCACGTGGCGTGAAGCCCAGAGTCAGTGTGGGAGGGAACTGCACGTGGCGTGACCATCAGACGCCTGGTTTCTTGGGGCCCCAAGTGCAACTGTGTAACACTGAGGTGCAGGGAGGAATCTCCCTTCAGTCCTGGCACCCAGTGATGCCTGAAGTGAGAAATCTACCCGTGGCCTTTCTAGTTACATAAACCAAAATCAAACAAACAAAATTCATTTTTTTGCTTTATTTTGTCATGCCACTCAGAGTTAAGTTTCTGTCACTGACCAATAGAGGGACAGACGGTCCCTCTGTGCCAAGCCCAGAGTGGACACGAGGGGCATAGACTGAAAGCAGGCACCGCTGACTTCACAGGCAGAAGCGCTCCCAGGCCTCTGTCTCCCCAGCGAAACTACACATCTCCCGTGAGTGGGGCCAGACCTCAGGCCTGATTTAAACTCCTCGTGTCCAGCATGGTGCCAGGCACACAAGAAAGGGCCAGTAGAAGCGTGTGGATGAACTGTGATCATAGTGTACCTTTCAAACACTGCTGTATAATGACTCTCAAAGTCTTGTTTTGTAAGGTAGCATCTCTCAAAATCAACCAGGTATTGTTTACTTTTAAGACGAAGGAAGATCCCGCTCTAGCAGTCAGGCCTATCTGATAAAGCCTGTTCCATAACAGTTTTTCTACGGTCTTGCCCTGAGAAGTCTAGCCTCTGTTGAATTCTGGAATAGTGAAAATCAGCGTGAAGGAATAGGAACACTGAATTTGAAACCTACAGATGCACAGCGGTTTTAAGCAGGTCCACACATCTTTTGAGATTCTTCCCATCAAAAGGCAGAGTGTGGGCCAGGTGTGGTGGCTCAACCTATAATCCCAGCACTTTGGGAAGCTGAGGTGGAAGGATCATTTGAGCTCAGGAGTTCAAGGCCAGCCTGAGCAATATGGCAAGACTCCGTCTCTGCTAAAAATAAAAAAGATTAGCCGGGTGCAGTGGTGCGTGCCTGTAGTCCCAGCTACCCAGGAGGCTGAGGTGGGAGGATCACTTGACCCTGGAAAGTGGAGACTGCAGTGATCCAAGTTGATGCCACTGCACTCAAGTCTGGGTGACAGAGAAAGACCTGTTTCAAAAAAAAAGGCAGAGTCTAACTTCTGTCCCCTTTGAATATGAGCCAGACAGAATCACTTGCTTCTAATGAAGAGAAAGTGACACAGTGATACTGCATGGCTTCCCGGGCCACTTAGGAAAGGCGATGCAGCCTCCTCCCAGCTCCTTCACACTTAGAACCCAGTGGCTAATTTGTGAGGAGGCCAAGCAGCCAGACCAAAGACCAGGTGTAGATGTTGCAGCCACAGCTCCCTCCGGCTGAGGTCCCTGCCACCATCCAGCGTAACCTGCCAGACAGGTGAGTGAGCGAGCCTTCAGAGGATCCCAGCCCCAACCTCGTTCTAGCCTCCCTCCCAGCTGACACTGAGTCAGCAGATACCAGCTATCTTTGCTGAGCCCTAATGAAATAGAAGATTCATGAATGAAATAAGCATTAATTTTTTTGAGGTAGAGTTTTGCTCTTGTCGCCCAGGCTGGAGTACAGTGGTGCGATCTCAGCTCATTGCAACCTCCATCTCCTGGGTTCATGAGATTCTCCTGCCTCAGCCTCCCAAGTAGCTGGGATTACAGGCACGCGCCACCACGCCTGGCTAATTTTGTATTTTTTAGTAGACACGGGGTTTTTCCATGGGGTCAGGCTGGTCTCAAATTCCCAACCTCAGGTAATCCACTTGCCTCGGCCTCTCGAAGTGGTGGGATTACAGGTGTGAGCCACCGTGCCTGGCTGAAATAAGCATTTTAAGCTATGAACTTTTGGGATCATTTGTACCACAGCAGTAGGTAACGGGAACAAGATGGAAGGGACTGTAGAGATAATACAGTTCAACTCTCCCATTTGAGGGATGGGAAAAGGTCCAGAAGATGGCAGCGACTTGCCCTAACATGACCCAGTGTGGGGTGGGAACCCAGGTCTCTTGATGGCAAATCTAGTGCTCTCCGCATGACCTGCCTGGGGCTGACACAACTCTCATTCCAAACCCCCTGTGGCCTGACCTAGCTCTGTCAAGATGAAGGTCTGCCTGTTAAGGATGGAGAGATGGAAAGATAAAAAGAGCCTGGGATCCTGAAACACCCCTGAGCAGATACACCAGCCCCGGACTTTCCGCCTCTGGAATTATCATCCTGCAAGAAGATAATCCCCCCGTGTTTAAGTTAGGGATTCTGTTCTCGGCAGCCAAATGCAAGCCCAACGGATAGGATGGCTTTCAGACTGCACTGGATTCAAAGTTCCTACTGTGGTCTTTCCAACTTATTTTGTTATTGTTGCCAAAAACCATGTAACTGAGATGTAACTACCAGGGGCCAAGCTGAGAGAGCTTCCCACTGCCCTGCTAGGCTGCCCTTGCTGCGAGCGAGTGCATCCTTGCCCATCCTCGGCCTTCTAAGCGATCCCTGCCCCGGCATCCTGCACGCTCCCTCTGGCCAGTGCAGCATGAGAGGAGCCTGGTTCTCCTCTCAGTCCTGGAGTCACCGAACCACAACACCAAACTCAAGGTGGGCTGCCTGAGTCCTCAGAAGGGTGAGACATGACAGGTGACACAGCCCCCAGCTGACAACCAGATGCAGGGTGGCCCCCAGTGGAAAGATGCAACCAGCCACATCCCATGAGTGCAGGCTGGCTGGGGTGTGCCATCTGCCGACGTGGGCAGAGCTCACTCGGAGACTCCCCTTTTTGGTCCTGTTCCAGCCAAGATCTGAGTGACCTCCATCCAGAATCGAAAAGCTGAGCCTCCAACTGAGGGATGTGCTCCAGGCACATTGTTTGCCAGCCTGTTGACTTAATCAGGTTATTCCTTAGAAACAATCAGGTCATTAAGAGGAAACTTTAGTAACCATGTCTTGGGCAAGGCCCCTGGGAGAGGCTCATTTTGTGGCTGAAAACCTGGGGATGGAAGTGGCCTTTTTAGGAGCAGCCTTAAGAAAGGGAGCAGCAGAACTGTCCTCGGACCAAATGCTGCCCATATGCAGCTACAAGGGCCCCCAAGGTGCCCCAAGAAACAACAGTCCAGAGACACAGACTCAGCCGAGCCCCGAGAAGATGCAGCTTACAGAGCCATCTGCACCTGGCACTTCACTCGAGTCAAACAGAAACCCCATACAGGCGAGGGGCTATTACTGTTCCCATTTTACAGAAGGGGAAACTGAGTCTTGAGGCATTTAAGAGACTTTTCCAAGGACACATGCAAGTGAATGGGCACCGTGACTGGGTGTTGTGTTCCCCAGAAAAATGCACGTGTTGAACCCCTAATCCCAACTGTGATGATGGCATTTGGAGGCGGGGCTTTGGGAGGTAATTAGGCATACATGCAATGATGAGGATAGGGCCCCGGTGATGGGATTTGGGTCATTACAAGAAGAGGTAGGAAAGACAAGAGCAGCTTCTCTTTCTGACACGTGAGGATGTGGCAAGAAGGCAGCTGCCTACAAGCCAGGAAGAGAGGCCTCGCCAGAACCCGACCACGCTGGCCCTGATCACAGACCCCCAGCCTTCAGAACTGTGTGGAATCAACAGCTGTTGGTTAAGCCCTGAGCTGTGGGGTCCCTGGCTGGAAGCTCCTCTGCTCTCTCCCTTAACCCCTGCCTTGCTGGAGCATCACTTAGCCCCTCTGAGAGTCACTTTCCCTGTCTGTAAGATGGGGAAATGCCTGCCCTACAGGGGATTCTAAGGAAAAATGAGATTGTGACTACCTTGGAGATCTGAGAACTAGGAAGCTCTGAGGCTGTACAGATGAAACTATTTTTTTTATTGCGGTAAAGTGTATGCAGCATAAAATTTACCATTTTAGCTATTCTTAAGTGCACAATTCACTGGCATTAAGTACATTCACAATGTTGTGCAACCATCACCACCATCCGTTGCTAGAACGTTTTCATCATCCACACGGAAACTTTGTGCCCATGGAATAACTCCCTCAGCCCGTGGCAACCGTGACTCCACTCCTTCTCCAGGACTACTCTAACTGCTTCATGAAGTGGAATGCTACAGTGTGTGTCTTTGCGACTGGCTTATTTCACTCAGCATGACATCCTCAAGCTTCATCCATGTTGTAGCATGTGTCGGAGTTTCTTTTTTTTGAGACACGGTCTCGCTCTGTCATCCAGGCTGGAGTGCAGTGGCGTGATCTCGGCTCACTGCAACCTTCACCTCCCAGGTTCAAGTGATTCTCCTGCCTCAACCTCCCGAGTAGCTGGGACTACAGGTGTGCACCACCACGCCCGGCTAATTTTTGTATTTTTTAGTAGAGATGGGGTTTCACCATATTGGACAAGCTGGTCTTGAACTCCTGACCTCGTGATCCGCCTGCCTCAGCCTCCCAAAGTGCTGGGATTACAGGCATGAGCCACCACACCCAGCCGTTTCCTTCCTTTTTAAGGCTGAATAATGTTCCACTGAAGGAATATATAATATATAAAAATATTTTGTATCATTCGTCTATTGAAAAGGAAGCTCATTCCTTAGGGAGGCTTCAGTGGACACCCAGTGTGAACCCCACACACAGACTTCCTCCCACACTGGAGTTTGGTCCAGTATCAGCAAACTCTCTCTCTCCTTCCTTCAAATCACTCTCAGGTCCTGCCTCCCACAGGCTACAAATAACCTGACAGTCTCTCCATTAATATTGGATGGCCAAATTCTGCATGCCTTAGGCCACTGGGGCTGCGGTAACAAAATACCATAGACTGGGTGGCTTATAAATGTTTATTTCTTGCAGTTCTGGAGGCTGGGAAGTCCAAGATCAAGGTGCCACAGGCTCAGAGGCCAGTGAGGGTCTGAGTCCTCATAGACAACCATCTTATTGTACCTTCACACGGTGGAAGGAAAAACAGGCCTTTCTGGGGTTCATTTCCTAAGGGCAATAATGCCACTCATGAGAGCTCCACCGTCATGACTTAACCACCTTCCAAAGGCCCCGCCTCCCAACACCCCCGCCTTCACGGTGAGGATTTTGCTGTACGAATTCGCAGGGACATAAAACTCTGTCCATCACATGTTGTAAGGGAGGGGGCACTGGGCTCAGCCCCATCGCTCACTGGCCAAGTCAGAAATAGCGCACAGAGGCCAGGGCGGTGGCTCACACCTGTTAATCCCAGCAATTTGGGAGGCCAAGGCGGGCAGATCACGAGGTCAGGAGTTTGAGACCAGCTTGACCAACATGGTGAAATTCCATCTCTACTAAAAATCTAAAAATTAGCTGGGCATAGTGGCTCATGCCTGTAATCCCAGCTACTCGGTAGGTTGAAGCAGGAGAATCGCTTGAACCCGGGAGGCGGAGGTTGCAGTGAGCCAAGATCGTGCCACTGCACTCCAGCCTGGGCGACAGAGCAAGACTCCAAAAAACAAAAAAGAACAGAAAAGAAACAGTGCACAGAGCACATGTGCACGACCAGATTACAGTACAGGCCCTGCCCCACACTCTCATTAAATCCCCATAAAAACTCTACCAGGTAGCTAGCACTTTTCCTGTTGACTAAAAGAGGTTATTACACATAATTTTGCTTAAAATCCACAGATTCCTTCTTTTTCCTTTTTCTTTTTTTTTTTTTTTTGAGCAGAGTTTCACTTTTGTCGCCCAGGCTGGAGTGCGGTGGCGTGATTTCGGCTCACTGCAACCTCTGCCTCCAGTGTTCAAGCGATTCTCCTGCCTCAGCCTCCCCCCAGTAGCTGGGATTACAGGCGCCTGCTACCACACCCGGCTAATTTTTTGTATTTTTAGCAGAGACAGGGTTTCACCATGTTGACCACGTTGGTCTCAAACTCCGGACCTCAAGTGATCTGCCCGCCTCAGCCTCCCAAAGTGCTGGGATTACAGGCGTGAGCCACCGTGCCCAGCCCACAGCTTCCTTCTGACTCCAGAACTCATGCTGAAGGCCCTGACGCTCTCAGAGCCCTGGCTTCCTTATCTACTCCAACAGGCTGCCAAGCCTCGGTTACACACAGCTCCCTTCTGGCTCCAGCACTCCGTGGGTGTGGGCAAGGCCACAAGCTGAGCATGCTCCTGTGAGCACCAAACAAGACAAGGACTCTGAAGGCGCTCTGTATACCGCATGCCAGGCATCACTCTCCCACGCACAGAACAGCAGTGCGCAGCCCAGAGGCCCAGCTGGCGGCTCACAGGGAACCCTGGTGCCTCAGCCCCTCCAGGCCAGGGTCAGAAGCCTGGGCTACAGAAACACAAGGCGTGGTCACAGGAACATGCAAACACTGGGAAAGAACCAGGGGTGGGACGTGACTCCAGGAGCTGGAGGCAGACCCATCACCCTGCATCCTGTCTGAAGGGCGCCGTGTGCCCAGCACGAAGTGCACAGAGCCAAGAGAGGAGGTCCCAAGTGCTCACCTGAGCCAGAGTCCCCAGCCCCATCGTGGAGAGGGCTGTGAGAGGGTGGGCATCCCGCCATGTGGCCCTGAGGTCAGGCCCTATCTGCGGGGCAAGGGAGGTGCCTGGCCCAGTGTGAGGGTCCTGGTCAGGGGATTCCGGCCACCTTTTGCCATTGTCTGTTCTGACCCCTGGATTCCCAGGACCCGAGAGGGTCATGACCCATCAGGGCAAGGGCCAGGCCCCGGGCCTTCCTCCAGGTAAAATGCTGACAACCCTCTGAGGTGGAAACTGTCCCCAGGGATCTGGTCTGCCAGAGGCTGTCCCTGGCTCTGAGGCCACCAGCAAGGCAGCCACTACGGAGGATGGGCCTTCAATACAGAAATCTCCTTTGAGGAACAATTCACTGCCATTCCCACAAGGTTGTCGTCACCCTCGGCTGGGGACGCGGCTCATGCCGCAGGGGTGCTCGGGGAGTGTGGCTTCCCCGGTCTGCCTGCCTCCTCACGGGAGAACCACGAAGAGATGGAGACAACAGCACCCTGACAGACCAGGGGATGGACCGGCGTGGAAAGCCCCAGTGGGGCTTAGAGAGCCTCTCACATCCCGACCACATCACCGGGAAACTCTAGCACAGTTCCTCGCTATGCTCACAAAACCCACAGGGCCCGAATCTGATGTCAGGGTCCCAGGTGTGGCTGCTTCCTCTGCTTCAGTGTCCACACTGTCTACAGGTTGTACAATAAGGACCAATCACCGGATGCATCATCCAGACCATGGACAGGTGCAGTCAGTCACCCTCAGTCCCCTGCAAGGTCTGAGGCCTGCTGGGAGCCTCCCAAGCCTGATGGCCTCACACTTCTAGGCCCACAGCACTGAGTCCCAGGCCCTGAGCTCCGGTACCTGCTGCACAGGCCCATTCAGGGTGCGATGAGGGCATCCCTATGCGGCTCGGTCCCATTCTTGAAAGCGATGATGACCCTACAGAGGCTCTGGGAGGGGCTGGGACAGCCCAGAGGTTTCCCGGGGAGGTGGGGCATGTGCTGAGGGGGTGGAGGATGCACATTTGGGTCAGAGCTGGAGAGCCAGATGTGAGCTTTTGGCAGCCACAGCTCTACTGAGCCCTCCGCCCCAGGCCCTGGTGACACCTGGGCTGATTTATGGTTCTACCACGGGGCCTGCACTGGGAGCAGCCATTAGGATCTGACCCTGCAGAGCCACACAGGCCCATCCTCACCGCCGACGGCTGCTCCTCTGCTCTTCCGGTCCACTCCTGCTTACCTTCCAGAGACACATACGGCACTGGCCTGGGCCAGACTCCTCACACCTCTGAGCTGTGGAACACAGCGGGTGACATGATTTCCATGGAAGGCGTAGAGGGAGGGGGTCCCACATACAGGCCGGGGGTGACAGGGAGAGGAGCACCCCTGACCACCCGTGTCCCCATCTCTAGACTTCTCTTAGGGGGGTCTGGGGCTTGTAGACGTGCCATCAGGTTCCTGCGAGGCCCCCTCCCTGCCGCACCCTCAGGGTCTGCCAGTGTGGGCCTGAGGCCCGGGGTCGTATTCAGATTCTGCCAGAAGAAAGAGCTCCAGCACTCAGAGTCAGAAACCACTGGCCTCAGCAGCTCACAGATGGGGAAACCGAGGCCGGGTGGGGCTGGGTGAAGGGCAAGCGATATTTCCTGGGTCATAGAACTAGTACCGAGGAGAGGAGAACAGTGTCCACAGATGCCTGGGACTGACGGAGGACAAGGGGTGTCCTCAGAGGGAGTCTGTGGCAGGGGGTGCTGGCATGGGCTCCCCACTCAGCAGACATGAGGGCCGGACCTGTCCCTCTCTTGTCTGGGTGACAATTCTGTAAAATGGACACCACGGTCTGCCGAAGGCGGCTGTGGGGCAGCATCCAGCCACAGGGCAAGGCCATGACAGGCGCCTTCTTTACTGAAACTGTGTGTGCAAGTGGTAAAATATACACGGCATGACGTTTACGTGGTGAAACGTGCGCGGCACGACGTTTAAGTGGTAAAATACGTGGCATGACGTTTCCCATGGCAGCCACAAGTGCACGGCTCAGTGGCGGTAAGTACATTCACACTGTCGTGCCACCATCACCACGTCCGCCTCCAGAGCTCTTCAACTTCCCAAACAGAAGCTGTCCCCGTTCTCCCTGGCTAGCCCCTGGCACTCACCCCAGGTACCTCCTATGAGTGGAATCACACAGTATCCGTCCTGTTGTGACTGGCTTAGTCGAATTCATCCACGTTTGCAGCCTGTGCCACAATTTCCTTCCTTTCTGAGGCTGAATCGTATGCTATTGTATGGATATGCTGCATTCTGTTTGTCTATTCATCTGTGCTACAGCTCATCATCATCCTGAGCACAGAGGAGCTGAAGGGGAGATGTTCCTCCCTCCTCCTCACACAAGAGCCCCAGAGGGCTCGTTTACCGCTCAGGGCTGGGCATTCCACCTCTAGGCAGATTCCCGCAGAAGCTCACACTGGAAGAAACTTAACGCCTCTCTACCTAACTGGAGTGAAAAGCTGCTTGTTTTTTTATCTTTCTAACTTCCAGTTTGTCAGGGACCCACGCTTTTATAAAATACACTAAAATGATGGGGTAGAAAAATGAAATTTAAATAACCAAAAACATAAAAGTACTTGCCCATTTTATTAAAAAATTAGATTCAGTAGACATAAAATTACTGTTTAAATTGCTTTCATAAAAGTTTCCACACATTCTCCATTTCTATTCTAATCTTGTTAGAGAACCATAACAAACAGTTCAAGGGCTGGCATCCATTTGCAAACCACATTTTGAGTAGCACAGCCTGGAGCACTGTTTCACAGCAAACTTAAACAACTAAATGCCCATCAATAAGGTAGCTGTTAAATATGCTTTGGTATATCCCTATTATTATTTAGCAATAAAAAATAATGAAGCACGTGAGTTAGCAATTCCAGTCCTAGCTATCTACCCAAGAGAAATGAAAACATATGTTCCCACACACACTTGTACAAGAATGTTCATGGCAGCACTATGCCTAATAAGCAAACAGTGGAAACCCACATGTCCATCAACTGATGAAAGGATAAACACACTGTGGAGTAGCCATACAACAGAACATTACTCAGCCATAAAAAAAGAATCAAGTATGGATACATAGTAGAGCACGAATGAACCTTGACAATATTACACTAAGTAAAAGAAGCCGGATGAAAAAGGCCACATGTTGTGTGATTCCATTTCCATGAGATGTCCGGAAAAGGCAAGGCTTTAGAGAAATTAAATAGATTCGTGGTTGGCAGGGCCTGTAGGAAGGGGCTTAGGGGTTAACGGCTAAGGGGACAGGGTTTCTGTGTGGGGCAATGAAAATGTTCTGAAAATAACTGTGGAAGTGGTTGCACAACTCTGTGTATACTCTAAGAACCACTGAATTGCATACTTTAAACAGATGAACCGTACGGTGTCTGACTTCAATCTTAATAAAGCTGTTATGAGAAATAATGAGGCCGAGCACGGTGGCTCACGCCTGTAATCCCAGCAATTTGGGAAGCCGAGGTGGATGGATCACCTGAGGTCAGGAGTTCGAGACCAGCCTGGCCAACCTGGTGAAATCCTGTCTCTACTAAAAACACAAAAATTAGCTGGGCATGGTGACAGTGCCTGTAATCCCAGCTACTTGAGAGGCTGAAGCAGGAGAATCACTTGAACCCGGGAGGCGGAGGTTGCAGTGAGCTGAGATTGCGCCATTGCACTCCGGCCTGGGTGACAGAGCAAGACTCTGTCTCAAAAAAAAAAAAAAAAAAAAAAAGAAAAAGAAAGAAAGGGAAAAAAAAGAAATAATGAAGCAGAGTTCTCTATTAAAACATGTGACTTAATTACTTAAAATCTAAAGAAAATTCTAGGCCTGGATATTTTCACCAGTGAATTCTTCCAAACACTTCAGAAAAAAAGCAACACTAAACCTTACACATTTTTTTCCAGAGAATAGAAATGGGGTAACATTTCCCAACTTGTTCTGAGACCAGCATAACCTTATACCAAAACTGGACCACAGAAGAACACATATTAGACCATCTTTCTATAAAGACCGATGCAAATCCTAAACAAAAGATTAGCAAATTGAATCCAGCAACATATTAAAATAATATATCCCATCCAACTGGCGTTTATTCCAGGAATGCAAGCGTGGTTACCATCCTAAAAATCAATTAATATAATGCACTGTTTTGACAGAAAAAAGGGGGAAAAGTCATATGATCATCTCATAAATTTAGAAACACTATTTGACAAACTGTAACACCTAATCATCACTTTTTACAAAAGCCCTTTAATATTTCCTCTGAGTTCAGTTATGAAACCAGGATGCCTGCTATTTCCAATTCTATTCAGCACTACTGAAGGTCTTAGACAATCAATTAATCAAGTGAAAGAAACAAAAGGCATAAGAATTGGAAAGGAACAAACACAACTCTAATTATTTATAGATGGTATGGTAGAAGATACATGGAAAATCTAAAAATATTAGAATTAACAAGTACATGTGGCAAGGTAACTAGATACAAGACCAACATGAAAAGTCATCACCAACAGAAAGCAAATTTTAAAAATATTATTATTTAATATTCACACAACATTTAAATTCTTACCTATCTACACAAGTTCACACACAAAAAATTAAATTCTAAGAATAAATCTAATAAAAGATGTGTAAGACCTCTACTCTCAAAACTATAAAACATTATCAAACAAAATTAAAGAAGACTCAAATACATGGAGAGAGATACCATGTTCATGAATCGGAGGCCTGAAGAGTGTAAAGATGTCACTCTGTCTAAATTAATACATATTCAATGAATCTCATTCAAAATCTCAGCAGGGTGGCTGGGCGTGGTGGCTCATGCCTGCAGTCCCAGCACTTTGGGAGGCTGACGTGGGAGGATGGCTTGAGCCTAGGAGTTTAAGACCAGCCTGGGCAACACAGTGAGACTCCATCTCTACAAAAAAATCTCTGCAAAAGGAAGCCAGGTGTGTTGGTGAGTGCCTGTGGTCCCAGCTACTCAGGGGGCTGAGGTGGGAGGATCGCCTGAGCTTGGGAGGTCCAGGCTCCAGCGGGCCATGTTCACGTCTCTGAACTCCAGCCTAGGTGGACAGAACAAGACCCTGTCTCAAAAAATGAAACAAAGAAATAATTTTTAAAAATCTCAGCAGGGCTGTTTATCTTTTTTATTTTTAAGGGAATTGTCAAACATTTTAAACTTTCTATGGAAGTGCAAATGACTGAGAACAGTCAAGGCAATCCTGAAAATCTAACCTCTATTCTATTATCAATACTAACTATCAAGTTTTGGGAATTAAAATAACAGTATCGACACATGGATAGACAAATAGAACAGAACAGCAAAAAGATCCAAAAACAGACCTACAAAGCCACCAGAATAACTAAAAGAAAAGAGACAGAAAATCCAAGTGTTGGGGAGGATGCAGAGCAACTGGAATTGTCAAACACACTGGGTGGGACTATCACCCTCTTTCAAAAATGATTTGGGGCCGGGCACAGTGGCTCATGCCTGTAATCCCAGCACTTTGGGAGGCCAAGGCGGGTGGATCACTTGAGGCCAGGAGTTCAAGACCAGCCTGGGCGACATGGTGAAACCCCGTCTCTACCAGAAATACAAAAATTAGCCGGGTGTGGTGGTCCTCGCTGCTTGGGAGGCTGAGGCAGGAGAATCGCTGGAACCCAGGAGGTGGAGGTTGCAGTGATCTGAGACCTTGCCACTGCACTCCAGCCTGGGTGACAGAGTGAGACTCTGTCTCAGAAGATTTGGAACTATTTACTAAACATAACATATGTATACCTTACGCCCAGCAATTCTGCTGTAAGGTTTGTACACAACAGAAATGCATACGTATGTTCACTGAAAGACATATACTACATTGTTCGCAGCAGCTCTCTTCACGACAAAAACTGGTTACTACCCAAATGCCCAACAACAATGCACAAATGAATAACCCTCAACTGCATGCAGCAACATAGATGAATCTCACAAACAATGCTGAATTGCAGACACAAGAATCCATACCACGTGCTTCTATATGAAGTTCAAATGCAGGCAGAACCAGTCTCTTAGGTGAGAAATCGGGATTATGTGCCCTGGGGACACTAGGGGAGTCTGTGGGGGTCTGGCCAGGTGCTGTTTCTTGGCCTGGACACAGGTGTGAGCTGCAAACTTACGATATGTGCTCTTGCTTGTAGCAGGTTACATCTTTTTATTGTTGTTTTGAGATGGAGTTTCACTCTTGTCGCCCAGGCTGGAGTGCAGTGGCACAATCTTGGCTCACTGCAACCTCCGCCTCCCGGGTTCAAGCAGTTCTCGAGCCTCAGTCTCCCGAGTAGCTGGGACTACAGGCACCTGCCACCACAACCAACTAATTACAGGCACGCGCCACCACAACCAGCTAATTTTTGTATTTTTATTAGAGACGGGGTTTTGCCACGTTGGCCAGGCTGGTCTCGCCCGCCTCAGCCTCCCAAAGTGCTGGGATTACAAAAGTGAGCCACCGTGCCCGGCCCTGTAGCTGGTTACATTTTAATAAAAAGTTTGTAAAAATTCGGCAGACATCAGAGGTACTGATAAGTTTATTAAAGTGACAAAAGCTATAATGGGTGGCAGAGTCACAGAATATTAAGTGTGTGAGGACCCTCTGCCTTTCTGCCCCTGAAGGAAGGGCCTGCGCTGGTCACTGCAGCCATCCCTCTGGCTGACCGGGGGAAAGAACAGAAAGACCAGAGTGAGAGAGTGCTGGAAACAAACCAGAAGGCTCTTACATCGGAAAGGGTGAAAACTACTGGTGTGGAAAGAAATGTGGAAGAGGTCCAGGAAGGCAGGGAAGAAAAAATACCAGAGCTCTAGACAGAAAAATGGGAAGGTGGAGAGGAAGGGGGAGGGGAGGGCTGGGAGCTCTGGGGAGAGTTCCCTCTCTGACTCCTTTGATGGCGTTTTGGTGTAAATCTGAACAGTCTCTGAGTAAGAACGGCCGGGCCTCTGGGGTTCATTTAGGTTGGGCTGCCAGAGAATGGTGCTCCTATACTGCGAAGTCAAAACAATTTTTAAAAGTGTGTTTATACCATGCATTATTTTATTTCTGTAAAAATTAAAATGTGTATCATATGTTAAAGCACAGCAAAAGCTCTGACAGAACACAGACTACACTCATACAATACTGACATCCTAGGGCATGGGATTAGATGGGGTGGTGAGATGCGAGTACAGGGAGACTTTCTTTTAACTGTGGAGCTGTGTGTGTTCGAGGGTTGGAGAGTGAGATCCTTTTGAGAGCATAATTGGCTTGTTTTTTTTTTTTTTGAGCCGGAGTTTCGCGCTTGTCGCCCAGGCTGGAGTGCAATGGCGCGATCTCGGCTCACTGCAACCTCCGCCTCCCAGGTTCAACCGATTCTCCTGCCTCAGCCTCCCGGGTAGCTGGAACTACAGGCATGCACCACCACACCTTGCTAATTTTGTATTTTTAGTAGAGACAAGGTTTCACCACGTTGGCCAGGCTGGTCGTCAACTCCCAACCTCAGGTGATTCTCCCACCTTGGCCTCCCAAAGTGCTGGGATTACAGGCGTGAGCCACCGCGCCTGACCTATAGTTGGTTTTTATAACAGTCCTTTTTTAAAAAAATAAAAGGATGACAGCCTGCTCAAAAGACTGGGGCCATAGGGGTTCTTCAGGAAGAAGAAAAAGGCGTGTTCAGTTATGAAATAAGCCACTCCTAATAGTCCTAAACAATGCCTGGAGTGAGCCCCGGGGGATTGTGACCCTTCCACAGGCGGCTGCAGGGTCTGAGTCTCCACCTTTGGTGTTGTGGGTGGCGGAGGCAGATACCAGTACACCTGGGCCTGCATCTCTCAGCTCCTCCTCCATCACCTCCACCTTCTTTCACCAAAACGGCCTGTCTTAGCCTGTTCATGCTGCTATAACAAAATACTATGAATTGCATGGCTTACAGATTTAGTCTGTGGGGGCTGCTCTAAGAAAACCTACCAGTGGCTTGCAAAAAAGACTGGGTGGCCTACAAACAAGGACAATGTATTGCTCACAGTTCTGGAGGCTGTAAGGCGCCTGCAGATTCAGCGTCTGGTGAGGCCGTTTCCTGGTTCATGGATGATGCCTTCTCCCTATAACCTCACAGGGTCGTAGGGGTGAAAAAGCTCCCTGGGGTCCCTTTTCTAAGGGCACTAATCCCATCACAAGGGCTCCACTCTCATACCCTAATCACCTCCTAACACCATTACCTTGGAGATTAGGATTTCAACATATGACTTTGGGACACAAGATTCAGTCCACAGCATAATCTCCGGGGCATGTCCCTCCTTACACTCTCCCTCCTCCTGCAAGCACTCTTCCCACCTGAGTTTATCACCCCACACAGTCCCCTCCCATGCAACCCTTCCTTCCCCTTCCCACCCCACCACCTCCCACTGAAGTAAAGGGACTAGTGCCCAGGGAACAGAGCTCGCCGCTTACAGAGCCCCCAGCCCAGCCCCTGCTGGAGCTCCTGGATCCCAAGGCGGGGAAGGCAAGTCGGCGGATGCGCACTTCAGGGAGGACGCAGGCGCAGGGCCGGGGAGCTGGGAGGCACCACTTTGCCCTCCTGAAAATTAAGCCCAAGACCTGCCATGGCGGTGGGGAGCAGTCTCCCTCAGATGGGGTCCCCTGTTCTCTCCACCTGCCCCAGAAAACAGCAAGACCGGTGGCCACCCCCGCTGTGAGTACTCTGAGGCCCAGAGGTACAGCTAGGAAGCATGTCCCTCCTGGGTACAGCTGACATGTGAGCAAGCACTTTGGCCAGCACAGCCGGCCTCTATCCCCACTGTGAGACGGGCGGTGCCACAAATGGGAGGTGACGATCAGGGGCGGTCACCTTCCAGTCCTGTAAGTGGCAAAGCTCAGAGGCACTGTGGGCTCAGCCTCCAGGTCACCTGCTGCCCCCGTGCCACTGGGGTAGTACGTTCGGGCCAGACGTGGTGGCTCATAGCTGTAACCCCAGCACTTTGGGAGGCCAAAGCGGGTGGATTGGTGGAGCCCAGGAGTTTGAGACCAGGGAGGCCAGGCTGAGCAACACAGCAAACCCCGTCTCTAGAACAACAACAACAAAAAAAGAAAAATTAACAAAATTTAGCCAGGTGTGGTGGCACGTGCCTGTAGTCCCAGCTACTTGGGAGGCTGAGGTAAGAGGATCATTGAGCCCGGGAATTCAAGGCTGCAGTGAGCCGTGATCATTGCACTCCAGCCTGGGCAACCGAGTGAGATCCTGACTCTAAGGAAACAATAACAATAAATAAAAATAAATAAAGTAGTACATTCCCCACAGTATGAGGGCCATAGAGGGGGTGGGGGGTGTTCTAGTTCCTGATGGGGGAGGCGGGTGCCCCTCATGGGTGGTCTGGGCATCCTCTGTTCCCTGGGCTATGCCCTCCTCTTGAGCCCCCACGCCCCTCACAGTCTCAGGCTACGGCACTTTGAGCCTCTCCCTGTGCTGGCCCAACAGGGGGCTCAGGTTCCGCACGAGGCTACTTCTAAAGACATGACCGGACAACAGGCCACTTCAAGCCCATTAGTGTCATGAAACTCATGACCTCACAGGGAAGGCAGCTCTCCCAGCATTCAGTCCTATTTCTAAAGGCAGAACTGAAAAGAATGAAAAGAACAGTGGGTGCCAGGGGCGGGGAGGAACAAGAGCCTTTGGGAAACTGCAAGGGGACACGGAAGAAAAGGACTTTAACACTCGGCCTGCCAATAACCTACAGGGCAGCAAAAGGAACCTCGAGTTCAAGGGCTCTCCTAAAAGCCAGGAGTTGCTTTCTCTCCATGATTGAGCAGAAGGTCTGCTGAGGGATTCTGGCCCCAAGTGAACCGAGGGTCTAAGCAGGGATGATGTGCTTTTCCACAGGGCAGCCACAGAAGGAACTTGCACCCTGGCACAAGCTGCAGGCACAGCTCCCTCCTATCACCCCCACATCCCACTGCCTGAGGTCCACAGGTCGATTCCCACAGGGATACATGAACAGACATATTTGATGCCTACTGTGTGCCAAGCATTTCCACATAAACTTGCCTCAGTTTATCCTCAAAACAAACCCATAGGGTACATCGTATTACCCCATTTTATGCACAAGGAGTTGGAGAGTTTTAAGAATTAGGTAACTGGCTCAAGTTCCCAGAGCTGGGCCCACCTGCATCCAAACCCTGACACCCCTCCTCCACGAGGCACCCTAGATTCCAAGGAGCCGGGAGGCTGCCCGGGAGGTGCTCACCCTATGTCTCAGCCCTGCCCTGGAAGCCTCAGGCTGAGGGGTGGCCACAGGGTCCCCACCTGGCCAGTAAGACTCTATCTCCCCTCCACCTCAAACAGAGCCATGCACACATGAAATATGGGGTGGCGGGGGGCAGATATGTGTAAGAGGCCTCCTGTTCCCGAGGTGGGGGTATCACCCCTCCATTCCTAGATCCCGTTCCTGCCTAAATTCCGGAACCACCCTGCACCCCATCCTTCCCAAGCCTCAATCCTCATGCATTTCTTCCACTGTTCGCCACTTTTGTCTAGATAGGCAGAGGAGCTGGTTTCTGTTGCCAGCAACCACAGGATGCTAACTTGTTCACCAGCCATCTCAGCTCTTCTCCCAGGACCCTCCCTGGATCCCCTCCCTCCTCTCTGCTCCCAGGATGAGGGTGCAGACCCTGCAAAGCTGGCCGTCTGCCCCCCAGAGCTGCCTCGTCCTGACACTGGGGGCCGTCCCAGGGCCTGGCTGCGGTGACGCGCCACTAACACTTACTGGACGATGAGGTAAAAGGACTGAGGGTTCACGAGGGCAGAGTGGGACTGGGATGAGGGAACCAAATGCAAGGATGAAGGGAAAACAGAAAACTGTCCAGGTTTCTGCCACAGCCAGTCCTATTTGTACCATGTAGCAAGGGCAGCTATTTCTGTCCGTGACACCCGCTTCCATCAGCCCCACAAGGACAGAAGGCAGCCTGAGGCAACTCCGTGCCAAAGGTGTGGGCTTGGCAGGCTCACAGCAGAGATTGTGGGCACCATCTCTGCAAGGCCAGGGGCACCCGAGCTGTGGGGCAGCACAAGGGGCCTGTGTGAGGCCCCTGGAGGAACACGGAGGAGGCACAGGGGCTCCAGGGCAGAGAAGCCGGAGGGAAGCCGCTCGCATGCAGAGTGGCCTTCCAAGCTTGGGGGGCATCCTTCTGGGAGCGCCTGGGTCCACAGAGCTCCCAAACTCTGCTCAATTCAGGCAATTTGGGAAGTAAAACAGGAAATGTCAGCTGCAAAAGGTAGAGAAGGCTTTTCAGGGAAGGTATTTCCAAACTATTTCCCCGTAGGGAATACATTTCCGTGACACTGAGTGGCAAGTACCCCGACAGTATCTGATTCACGCCAGCACCGAGCTAAATGCAAATGACTTTCAATCATCAGCCCCTGGGGCACACTCGGAACTCAGCAGAGCCGAGCCCTGGCCCAAGTCACCTCTATGACCGGCAGTGAGAAAAAAGGCGGGTGGCGAGAACATGGGAAAGAACATGGGTAAGAATATTGGCTCTCCTGGGCCAGATTTTGGACTTGATAGTCCCCATAATCACGTGAGCCAATTCCTTCAAATAAATCTCTTTATGCATGCACGTGTGGGCACACACACCCACACACCCACACACACACCCACACATCCCCATACACACCCCCACACCCACACACTCACACCCACAAACACACCCACACACCCCCATACACACCCCCACACACACCTACACCCACACCCCCACAACCACCCACACACACACCCCCCACACACACCCACCCACACCCCCCCACACACACACACCCCCCATACACACCCCCCACACACCCACCCCCCACACACCCACACACACACCCATACACACCCCCCACACCCACACACCCACCCCACACACCCCCACACCCACACCTATACCCACATACCCACCCCCCACACACCCCCCACACACACTGACACACACCCCCACACCCACCCACCTACACACCCCCACACCCACCCACCTACACACACCCACACCCACACCCCCATACACACCCACACCCCACACCCACCCATACACACATCCCACACGCACACTTACACCCACACCCACCCCCCACACACACCCACACACCTACACCCACATACCCACACCCACCCCCCACACACCCCCATACCCACCCACACACACCCACCCACAAACACACCCACCCCCACACCCACACACACATACCCCCCCTCACCCCCACACACACACCCTATTGGTTCTGTTTCTCTGGGGAACCTTGGCAAACTCTGTAAAGAACAAAGAGGCCTGCTGGACTCTGGGCTAAGGAAGGCAGCCAGCATAGCAGCATCACTCCCGGCACCGTGTGTACAGATGTAGTCAGAATCACTGTGACAAATGCCCACTCCGGCCGGGCCCTGCACTGCTGCCTCCACCTTTTTTGGGCCATTTAATCCAAGGGCTGATTGCATATCTCCTCTCATATGTCCCACAGTCATGCCAAAATTAACAGATCTCAACAAACTCTTAATCGTCCCCATCCTGGTCCTGCTCTCATCCTGGCAAGTGGCACCAGTGAGTTCCCAACTCAAAAATCTGGGCATCATCCAAAAACCGGGAGTCACCCGATCTTCCCTCTCCCTTGCTCCCCCTCACTCAGTCCACCTCCACGTCCTGCCAATGTCCTGTGGGGATCCCTATCCACATCCTTTGCCTATTCTTTTTTTTTTTTTTTTTTGAGACAGAGTCTCATTCTGTCACCAAGCTGGAGTGCAGTGGCGCAATCTCGGCTCCCTGCAACCTCTGTTTCCCATCTTTGCCCATTCTTTACTAGAGCCTCTGGCTTGTCCTTATTCTTGTATAAGAGCACTTTATATCTCATGCATATTAACTATGTATTTGTTGTATGTGTTGAAATTGTTTTTTCATTTTGTCACTTATTTTCAAACTTAAGGTGGCATTTGCTTTCTATACAGAATTTTTAAAAATGTCCATCAAGGCTTTTTAATAGCAAAAACAACAAAAACTTAAATAAAAATAAATGTCTATCAGCAGCAGACGAGATGAATAGTAGTATGTTCATACACTGCGATGGCATGCTGCAGTGCTCCATTGTAGAAACGACAGTCACAGGAAATGACTAGACCTGCAAGCATCCATACAAATACTTCTTTTTTTTTGAGATGGAGTCTCGCTCTGTTGCCCAGGCTGGAGTGCAATGGCACGATCTCGGCTCACTGCAACCTCCGCTTCCCAGGTTCAAGCAATTCTCCTGCCTCAGCCCCGAGGAGCTGGGATAACAGGCGCATGCCACCACACCCGGCTAATTTTTGTATTTTTAGTAGAGACGGGGTTTCACCATGTTGGTCAGGCTGGTCTCGAACTCCTGACCTCAGGTTATCCACCCGCCTCGGCCTCCCAAAGTGCTGGGATTACAGGCATGAGCCACCATGCCCGGACCCATACAAATACTTCTTGAAAAAAAAAATGAAGGGATAAAACAGATGAAAAGACACACAAATAACAAGTAGTAGGACAATAAAATATATTGCCATGGTACACATATTTAATAAAATATAATATACAGAAAACATGCAGAAAAAGTATAGCTACCAACTCAAGACATTTGTTGCCTGGCAGAGAATAGGGGAATGGGAGAGGAACTGGTACCTTGGCTCTGTCTAAAACATTTCATTTCTTGGCCAGGCACGATGGCTCATGCCTGTAATCCCATCACTTTGGGAGGCTGAGGTGGGCAGATCACCTGAGGTCAGGAGTTTGAGACCAGCCTGACAAATATGGTGAAACCCTGTCTCTACTAAATACAAAAAATTAGCCAGGCGTGGTGGTGTGCTCCTGTAATCCCAGCTACGTGAGAAGCTGAGGCAGGAGAATCGCTTGAATCCGGGAGGCAGAGGTTGCAGTGAGCCGAGATTGCACCATTGCACTCCAGCCTGGACAACAAGAGCAGAATCCTGTCTCAAAAAACAAAACAAAAACAAAAACAAAAACAATTTCTTTAACAACAAAATAACAAACATGAGAAAATGATGTTATTCATTAAATCTAGATGAAACGGACATCAGTATTATATTCTTCTCTGTACTTTTTTATATATTTGAAACATTCTGTAATGAAAATTAAAATTATTTTTTAATATTAAGTAAAGAAAGGATCTGGTTGGGCAAAAGAATGATCAGATACCTCCATGAGACTCCATTCTTGCTTCTAGCAAATTACCATAATGTGCAAATATATCATTTCTGGAATCTGAAGTGCTCTACTCCCAGGAAACTAGGAAACCTAGCAAGTTGTTTTATCTGTGAGAGCTGATCTGAGTTCACATAACTTCACTTAGTTTTTGCCCAAATATGTAAACTAAAGAAGATTTTTCTGTCTATACAGAAAATTTAACCTTTTAAGCTTAAAATGTTCAAGGAAATGTTTTCTTCTATGGCAAGGTTTTTCAACCTGGGCACTACTAACATTTGGGACCGGATAGTTCTTTGTGGTGGTGGCTGTCCTGGGCTTTGTAGGACACTCAACAGCACCCCTGCCTCTACCTAGTCCATATGCCAGTAGCACCCACAAAGTATGATCAACTACAAATGTCTCCAAATACTGCCATGTGACCTCCTGGGGGCAAAACAGTCCCAGTTGAGAAGCACGGCTTTATGGTTTCTGACTTCAGTGCCAGGCTTATAAAATCTGTTTCTACTGCGTAATTTTAAAAAGTGATGTATCGTATTTTTGTCTAGCCAGCCATGGTTGTATTTTTTACATTTAGATCTTCAATCCATGTGGAATATACCCCGGCATAAGAAGTCAGGTAAGAAGCCAGATAGTATTACTGCACTGAACCTGTCCCCCAGGAAAGGCCGCTACAGCATGTGGGTGAGCTCCTGGCATAGGGGGGCGTGTGATAATGACACCCCACAGAGTAAAAGGCTGCACCTGTCACTCAATAGTTGGCACGGAGTTGGCCAAGCTGGGGTCAAGACAGCTCTGGTCTTGTCTTCCCAGAGTTTCAGGGATTCTCCACTACAATTAAACCTGATGGTGCTCTGTAAGTACTGGGTCAGTGGCAAATGTTCTAGAAATCTGTTTTCTAACAGATAGTCTACCTTTCACAGAATCTTCATCATCTCCCCAAACCAACAGCAAACCGCTTGATTCTGGAACCATCTGGAAAATTCTGAGGGTCTTCCATTTTTGGAGAGAAACACCAGAGCAGGTGGTTAACTTTGTGTGTCACTGCTCTTGGTTTGAACTTTTGTGTGCTTTCTAGTAATTTTAAAATATATATTAATATATTATATGTTATATATTATATTAATATATTTTATATTTATATATTTAAATATATATAAATTATTTTTCTTTTACATTCCTGTTCAATTTCTATAGAATTTAATGAGTATAATGGGCTCCATCTAGTGGTCACAAGAACATCTCCAGATTCCAATGGTCAGCACAGAAACTTCAAGATCTTTATTTATAGGACATGACACATTTTATAATTGATAGACTCAGGTGGTTAAACTATGCTTTAAGAGAAGACTTCTAATTATTTTTTTCCTTTCATCAGTGGGTCTTACAAATTGGTTCTTAAGGTCCACTGCCCAAAACCATGCTTACCATCTTCTCTTCCAAATTGATCCCTCTTTGGGGATTTCCTGTTTCTGCGCAGCTTCCCCTCCCCAAAGGCATGCTGCTTCAGGCTTCTCTGTCTTCTCCTGTGCCCACCCACCCAGTTTGTGAGTTCTGTCCACCACATGACCCAGTGCCTCTCACAGCTGTTCCCGGCTATCAATTCTCATGGCCATTCGACAGGGCGTTATCAACCCTCCTCCCCGTGCCTGGCACCGTGCTGGATTTAGGGGATGCTGCAGTGAACCAGGCAAGCTGTCTCCTGCCCTGAGCACCCCCTCAGGGGCCCCTCTGTTGGAACCAAGTATGATCTAGTCTGTCCTTCATGCTGTTTCCAGAGCCCTCGTCTTAAAGCTAAATTCCACTCAGACACCATCAACTGTGTCCCATGGAATAAAGCCTCAATCTCTCCAGACCCTGGACTCACCCTCCCCTCCCACTGCCACCTTCCAAGCAAACAAGAGTTCCCACCGGTGCTCGGAGCTCCCCTCTGCCTCCACTCAGGATGTCAGTCTCTCAGAATGCATCCCCCATCCCAGGTGGCTAACCTGACAACCAGTCTTCAAAACCTTGCCCAATTATCATCTTCCCCAGGAAGGACCCTCCTCCAACCCAGATCCTCCTGACCCGAAGTGATCTCTCCTTGTAATTTCTGTAGGACTGGTGTTTCCTCAGGGCTCATCCTATTCTCCGCATCTGTTATGGGTCTTGTACCTCTCCTGCCTTCCTCTAACAACTGGGTCTGCAATTGCCTCTAAGAATCTTAGTCAATAGCTCCCCCAGGACCAGCACAAAATAGGGTAGGAGAGACGAATGAATGAATGAATGAATGAACAAATACCTATGCATAGTGAAGCGAGGGAATGGCAACCAGCCTCCAGAGTATTCTCGTGCCCCCCAAAAAATCAGACACACAAATGACCTCCTTTCACTTGGCAGAGTCTGACATACCAAGGTAGCTGCCTTATAGGCCACTCAATTTTGCCATAAACTCAAGTCGACTGAGATTTAATGCTTATAAATATATACGTGTATCATTTTAAAAAATTCTATAAAAAATAATCCCAAAAAGGGTAACAATTTCTTGCATTGAAATCCTATGAGAGGCTGGGCAAGGTGGCTCACCCCTGTAATCCCAGCACTTTGGGAGGGGATCTTTTGAAAGCAGGAGTTCGAGACCTGCCTGGGCAAAAAAGTGAGCTCCTAACTCACCAAAAAAAATTAAAAAAAAAAAAAAAAAAATTTTTTTCAGACAGAGTCTCACTCTGTCGCCAGGCTGGGGTGCAGTGGTGCGATCTTGGCTCACTGCAACCTCTACCTCCCGGGTTCAAGTGATTCTCCTGCCTCAGTCTCCTGAGTAGCTGGGACTACAGGCGCGTGCCACCACACCTGGCTAATTTTTGTATTTTTAGTAGAGGATTTCACCATGTTGGCCAGGATGGTCTTGATCTTCTGACCTTGTGATCCCCCCGCCTTGGCCTCCCAAAGTGCTGGGATTACAGGCGTGAGCCACTGCGCCTGGCCAGGAAAATTTTTTTTAATTAGCCATGGTGGCACACGCCTGTGGTCCCAGCTATTATCCCGGCTGAGGCAGGAGGATCACTTGAGCTCAGGAGTTCAAGGTTGCAGTGAACCGTGACTGCACCACTGCACTTCTGCCTGGCCGACAGAGTGAGATCCTATCTTAAAAAAAAAAAAAAAAAAAGTCCCAAGACAGCGTGTGCCCTTCGCTAGGCTCTTTTCCAGCCAACAAAGGCAGTAAGGCAGTAAACAGGCTGAATATGAGCAACTTTTACCACTTCTGTTCCGCTCTGTGACATTTTCCATAAACTATCAACGAAATGTATCAGGTTCTGTATAACTTCCACATTGTGCTTTCTACGGTCCTAAGTGGAGTTTCACTCCTCTACGCAAACTGCCAAATGTTTTGATGGAGCAGAGGATTTCTGACTTGCATTAAACTCTGGATTATTATTCATTTCTGGAAAATCACCCGACATTGCAAGTACAGTGCCCATCCTTGGAAACCAAGCACAATGTCTCTGCAATATTCTGCAAGGATCCAAAAAGACACAAAAAGAAAACGAAAAGGATGATACCATTCTGGAATGTTCCTGACAATGTCCAGGCAGTTTGAGCCTGGTTAGTAACAAGTGCAAACAGCGTGACGGGCAGAAGCCCAGCTCTGCTCGAGGCCTTCTGGGCACGTGGGTGGCTGATGAGGGTTCACGGCCACACACTTTCCTTTTCTGTTTCTCTCACTCCAGCATCGCCAGCATCTTCATACCCACGTCCTAGAAGAACGTGCCAGTAAAGTCTGCCAAGCCCTCGCTCTTCCCCTCCTGAAGATTCCCAGTGGCCTCCTACTCTGTGTCTCTTCTCCCTTCCTCTCTGGCAGCTCCCGACTGATGGCGACGGACCTAACAACAGACAAGCTCTGAGGACGCAGTGCCAGGCCTCGTTCTAAGCTGTCTGCACATGTGAACCCATTTGATCCTCAAAACCATCCCATGACACAGCTACTCTCAGAAACCCCACTTCACTTCACAGGTGGAAAACCGAGGCACAAGGAGGATAAGTGTGAGGTCACGGAGCCGGTGAGCAACAGAGAATCGGGCCACGCAGCCTAGATGGGAAGTCAACACACTTTCCCCTGGGCCACGCTGCCTCTTGGTGTGTTTTATTTTTTCCTTTCTTCTTTTTTTTTTTCTTTGAGATGGAGTCTCGCTCTGTCACCCAGGCTGGGGTGCAATGGCTCAATCTTGGCTCACTGCAACCTCTGCCTCCTGAGTTCAAGCAATCCTCCTGCCTCAGCCTCCTAAGTAA
Source organism: Homo sapiens (assembly GCF_000001405.40). Classification (NCBI taxonomy): domain Eukaryota; kingdom Metazoa; phylum Chordata; class Mammalia; order Primates; family Hominidae; genus Homo; species Homo sapiens. Next base: position 178,554,310 of record NC_000005.10, read on the forward strand.
CTGGGATTACAGGCGTGTGCCACTATGCCCAGCTAATTTTTGCATTTTTAGTAGAGACGGGGTTTCGCCATGTTGGCCAGGCTGCTCTCGAACTCCTGACCTGAGGTGATCTGCCCACTTCGGCCTCCCAAAGTGCTGGAATTACAGATGTGTGCCACCACGCCCAGCCCTCCTGGTGTGCTTTAAGTGGAGCCAACCCTTTGGTTACACCTTTGCAAACCACCTGGCGGTGACTGGGCCAGCCGTCACCGGAAGAGTCTGGTCACCTACTGCTTGTGCCCAGCTATATTCGTTCTCTCTTCTGGGAAAAGATCCTAATTTTTCATGAAGGAACCACCCTCCCCGACACCACATGCTTCTGGTATTGCCAACCCTCCCCCACTTTGTCTCCCCTGGTTCCAAGAATGGTCACATGATCCACCAATGACCTGGCCCATCAACGTGTCCCATGCTCCAAGTCAGTGCAATTTTTCAAGGAGAGGCACCTGCCCCAAGCCAGGCAAACTGGGATCCATTCTGGGACGTAAAAAAAAAAATCATGGTAAAATACATATAACATAAACCTGAGCATTTTAAAGCACGAAGTTCCAAGATTAAACACAACAACCATCCCCTCTATCCACTTCCAGGACTTTTCATCTTTCCAAACAGAAACGAGGTGCCCCTTAAACAATAACTCCCTGGGTTAGTGTCTGGGTGTGGACATAAAAAGGTACCACAGACTGTGCGGCTTAAAACAGCAGAAATGTGATAAGGTGCCGTCAGGCTGATTTCCTTCTGAGCTCATGGCTCAGCAAAAGTGTCTTCTCCACGTGTCTTCACATGGCCTGCCCTCTGCATGGGTCTACGTGTCCAAATCTCCTTTTATTACAGGGACAGCGGTCATGAGGGCCCACCCTAAGGCCTCATGTCACCTACTCTCCAAGGGAACATTGTTATCTCCAAACACAGTCCCATTCTGAAGCCCTGAGGGTTAGGACTTCAAGATACGAATATGGGAGGACACAGTTCAACCCATAACACTCCCCATGCCCCAATTCTGAGACTTTCGGGAAAGAACAGTGCTGTATCTGCTGGGGTTGCTGAGCACATGTGATATACACCTAGAGCTATACTGGCGGCCACCTTCCCAAGCATAGGTCACTCCAGCAGAGGCTGTCTGAAGACAAGCGGAGAAGAGCTGAGAGAGGAGAGCGAGCCCTGAGCCCAGATGGGCCTGAAGCCAGCTGCACCTCAGACCTTTCCATTTCTAGTTGTCTGCACTAAAAATTTCCTTTTTCGCTTTATTAGTGCAGGGTGATCAGAACACTAATTAATGTTCTGATGCTTGTAACCCAAAGAGTGAGTGAATGCAAGGGCCACAGTGACCCTTGGCTCCAGGACACGTGGAGTGGGACCACAGGGCAGTTATTTACAAGGCGGAGTCAAGACTCAAGTCCAGGTTCCCAGGCTCCAAGGTGCCGGCCCTCACCAGTTCCCTGGGATGCCCCCGAGTCACTACTGTTCACAGACGGTGGAGGCCGGACCATAGGGCAGCTCCCAGGGGGAGGCTTCAGGACCCACCTGGCCAGAGCCTCCCTGCAGGAACCTGTGTTTGCTGCGGTAAAGCCCAGCCTCTCCCCACAGACTGAGGGCTCCCGTCCTTCAGTCAATACCCTCAGGCCTGCAGCGTGCCTGGGAGAACAAAGCACGAGGAAGTCAGACAACAGGCTACACAGCAGGCCTTCTTCCCTCCATCACAGCACACACGCAGCCCTGTCTGAATAACACAGGGTCGGAAATGACCCAAACGTCCTTGGCGGGGACTGGCCAAGTGCATTACAGGACATTCCAACAGCATGGCCAGATTCTTTCCTGGACCAAAACAAGGCAGCAGCTATCTCGGATACACAGACGGGCACAGACCACCTCAAAGAGAAAGGGCAAACCCATGAACAAGGCAGCCCATGAAAAACAATGCGGGATAACTGTTGCGTTATTAAAAAAAAAGAAGGAGGAGGAGGAGTTACTACTTTAAAATTAGTTGAAATGGGCCAGGCATGGTGGCTCACGCCTATAATCCCAGTACTTTGGGAGGCCGAGGCGGGTGTATCACCTGAGGTCAGGAGTTCGAGACCAGCCTGGCCAACATGGTGAAACCCCGTCTCTAATAAAAATACAAAAATTAGCTGGGCGTGGTGGCAGGCATCTGTAGTCCCAGCTACTTGGGAGGCTGAGGCAGGAGAATTGCTTGAACCTGGGAGGTGGAGGTTGCAGTGAGCCAAGATCGCACCACTGCACTCCAGCCTGGGCAACAAGAACGAAACTCTGTCAAATTAAAATAAAATAAAATAAAATAAAATAAAATAAAATAAAATAAAAAAGCTGAGTGTGGTAGCTCATGCCTGTAGTCCAACACTTTGGGAGGCTGAGGCAGGTGGATCACTTGAGGTCAGGAGTTGGAGACCAGCCTGGCCAACATGATGAAACCCCGTCTCTACTAAAAAAACAAAAATTAGCCAGGCATGGTGATGGGAGCCTGTAATCTCAGCTACTCGGGAGGCTGAGGCAGGAGAATCGCTTGAATACGGGAGGCAGAGGCTGCAGTGAGCTGAGATCGCGCCATTGCACTCCAGCCTGGGCAACAAGAGTGAAACGCTATCTCAAAAATAAATAAATTAAAAAAATGAAAAGTAAAGTAAAATAAAATAAGACACAGGTCTGCCGTGGCAAAAAATTACCACAAGCCCTCCCAGTTCTAGGGGCAAGAAGTCCAAGGTGTCTGCGGGGCGGGCTCCTCAGGGAGAGTCCCTCCCACACCCCTCCATAGCTCTGGTGGCTGCAGGCATTTTGGTGTTTCTTGGCTGGCACACGCAGCACGCCAATCCCCACTCCGCTGTCACCTAGCCCTCTGGTCTGTGCGTCTCTGCCTCAAATCTCTCCTTGCCTCATTTAAGGACAATTGGCATTGGATGTAGACACACCCTAAATGCTGAATGACCTATTCTGAGATCCCTAATTACACCCGCAAAGACCCTATTTTCAAAGGTCACATTCACAGGTACTGGGGGTTAGGACTTGGACATATCTTTTGAGGGCGACAGGATTCAACCCACTACACTATTTTATTGAGGATGGGTGCAAGGCTCACCAGAGCCAGCTCAGGGCCCCCCGCCAGTCCTCCTGCCAGCGATATCCACTGGCTGGGGCGAGAGAGAAGCCCCTGCCACCACACTCAGCCTCGCAATGGGTGGCACATCCAGAAGAGCCGCCCCTCCTCTGGCCTTCCTTATCTGCCTGCTGCATGCTAGGATCCAACAAAAGATTCCGCTGACTCCCCGGGCTGCTAGGTGGGGAGCTGCGGCCAGCTATAATCAGACAGGGAGCCCCACTGCAGAATGTGGTCTATGTCTCCACACTCCAAAAGCCCGAGGGACACGCTGGAGAGCCTTGGAGCCTTGGAGCCGGGAAGAATAGGAATGAGTTAGGACTTCTGGTGTTGGAGACAGGGCCTCTGTTCTTTGTAAGACAAGGGGCTCATGGGCCGGCCTGCTGGGGTTTAGTGTTGATGAAGGTTCTGGTCTAAGGGGCTCTCGAGGTGACAGGAGAGAAAGTGCAGGCATGGACAGGGGTGTGCTGAGGGGTCTGGCTAGGGTCGTCATGCTGCACCCCAAGGCCACACTGACCACACCTACCAGGATGGCCTCCATCACAGCCTGGAGTTCCTGGGACAGCATCAGCACGGTGCTGATGATCAGGGCTCCCCAGGGAGCCGGGGAGTCTACCAAGCCTTCCTCTCGGTGGGACTAGAGGCTCTGACCAGCCCTTCAGTCCCCCATGGTCTTCCCAAGACCTTCTTGGGGGCCTCTTTCTAGAGGAGTTCAGGACCCCTGTTCCCTGCTCCCCACTCCTGATGGAAGGCAGGACACAGGTCCATCTGTAGTCACTGGCTTTAACTTATACCTTCTCCATAACCTCAGAAAGCCCCCCAGAGCCCGCTTCAAGATGTTATCATTTACTGATAAAGACCCTCAGTGCTAGTAAGGGGCAGACCCAAGATGTGGCTCCAGTTCTGATTGATCCGGGAGCTCCATGCCAGCTTGTGTCCCCCTTCTCCCACTCTCCAGCCATCATCTGTCTTGGGGACTTTCAAGCCTTCTGTTAGTAACCCACAGCAAGAAACCCATCTCACACCATCCAAGTCCAATCTACAAATATTAATAGCCAAAACCAAAATTTCACTCGGGCCTTTTTTATTCCAGACTTCTGTGCCAGCTCACAATTTCATGCTGGTGGTTGCTGGCGGCAACCCACTAAACGGATTTGGTGTCTCACAAATGGGGCGTGACTCCCAGTTCAAAAGACACACACAGGTATGCACCCAGTAACACTCAGAAAGAGGGGAGCGAAAAAGAAGGACTGTTGGCATTTTACACATTTTGCAGATCATCTAAAAATCCATTTGTGGATGTGAATTTTTCCTCCCATGTAATTGCAATTTCTGACTTTTTTTTTTTTTTGATGGAGTCTCGCTCTGTCACCCAGGCTGGAGTGCAATGGTGCAATCTCGGCTCACTGCAACCTCCACCTCCCAGGATGAAGCAATTCTCCCACCTCAGCCTCCCAAGTAGCTGTGACTACAGGCATGCGCCACCATGCCTGGCTAATTTTTTATATTTTTTGTAGAGACAGGGTTTCACCACGTTGGCCAGACTGCTCTCGAACTCCTGACCTCAGGTGATCCACCTGCCTCGGCCTCCCAAAGTGCTGGGATTACAGGCGTGGGCCACCGCGCCCGGCCACAGTTTCTGACTTCTTGATCTGTGAATGGAGTCATTCCCTTGTCAAATCCTCTTTCTCGTATTAAAATCTCAGAGGTCCTATAAAGGCTAGCTCAAGCTCAACCATAAAATTCTTCTCCCACCTGGCCCTCAGAGACGGAATTTTCACACCATGAGATATACCTTTGCAGAAATCTCGGGGCATCTCCCAACCCTGGGATGTTTTCAGTGAGTTTGGTTTCCGGACACTTGGCTAATGGAAGGAATGAGAGAGAAGACAAGGGACACTGCGCAGCTCCTGTCTTCTCTGGACCAATAACAAAAGTCACCTTTCCCTGCATGTCGAGAAGTCTGAGACACATCACTCAAAAGCCACCTTTCCCTGCACGTCGAGAAGTCTGAGACACATCACCCAAAAGCCACCTTTCCCTGCACATCGAGAAGTCTGAGACACATCACCCAAAAGAGACCTTTCCCTGCACGTCGAGAAGTCTGAGACACATCACCCAAAAGTCACCTTTCCCTGCAGGTCGAGAAGTCTGAGACACATCACCCAAAAGTCACCTTTCCCTGCACGTCGAGAAGTCTGAGACACATCATCCAAAAGTCACCTTTCCCTGCACGTCGAGAAGTCTGAGACACATCACCCAAAAGCCACCTTTCCCTGCATGTCGAGAAGTCTGAGACACATCACCCAAAAGAGACCTTTCCCTGCACATCGAGAAGTCTGAGACACATCACCCAAAAGTCACCTTTCCCTGCACGTCGAGAAGTCTGAGACACATCACCCAAAAGTCACCTTTCCCTGCACGTCGAGAAGTCTGAGACACATCACCCAAAAGTCACCTTTCCCTGCACGTCGGGAAGTCTGAGACACATCACCATTTTCCACTCATCCACTGGTATCAGACACCATTCTAAGGGAGGGTCATTCTAACCCTGAAAACACCAGTGTTAGAGACCACACACTGGGCCATGGCCTGTGCAAAGCTCCCCTGAGGACACCCAGGAGACCTGTTATGAGCCTGGATTTGAGCCATGTGGATTAGAAGTCAACAATTCCTGGTTTCATTCACAGCCATCCTGGTCTGCACCAGCAAAACCAAAGAGAGTCTATGATAATTTGAATAATTCAGACCTCATTGCCTGTTTCCTTCCTCTGCCTCCACCGCAAGAAATGAAAACAAGAAGGCTACGTCCACTATTTATCTACCTTCTGCACGTCTGACATAGAGCTCTGGTTGCAATGTTGGTACAGTGGTGGCAACTGGGGTTCCAGGCTGTCACCTCCCATCAGTTCACACCCCTTTCTCCATCTTTGAAATGGGCCAGCTGCTACTTCCCTACCATCTAAATCTTCAGGCAGCTAAGTCATCTCCGACAATGTCTTAGCTCCTCCACCAATACCACCCAGCAAACCGAGTCCGTTTACTTTGCTGGAAACCGACCAGAGAGCCTGCCAGGGTCAATGTGGGAAAGAAAGGCCCCAGGCCAGTGCACGAAGACGACAGCCTGACACCCCAGTCCACCTTCCGGACCATGCTGTTCTCAGCAATCCCAAGCAAACGGCGGCCGAACGCAGGAGCCAGAAGGGAGCTCAACCTTCACTTACCTGGGGGGCAGACACATTCGGATGGAGCTTCCCGAGCAGTCCGGATCTTCGCTAGTCCGTCCAACTTCTGAGCCGGAAAAAAAAAAAGAAAAAAAACGAGGAGAGAATGAGTTTCAGAACAGAGAGGGGTAAAAGTGGAAACATCAGCAAAAACAAATGTATCTAAACCATCTACAGTGCTGGGGCTGTCTGTGAGACCATCTCTCAAAAGATCCTTAAACTCTACAGGGAATTTTAGAATGAGGAAAAACAAACACAAACACTAAACAGTTACTGGTGAGTCCCTGAAAAGGTGGCAGGTTTCTGCTTTGTTACAGCATTTTCAAATAGAATACCAAGAGTTACGACAGAAACAGCGTCCTGCAAGTCAAAAGCCACAGCGACCACCAGCCCTGCAGGGAGGGAGGCTGGGGCTGAGGGAGGCCTGGAGAGGGCAGATCAAAGTTAATGCTCCAGGCGGCTTTCTGCACTCACAAGGCCACCCCGTCCACACCCGGGAAGTCCCAAAACCCCATGGCTGCAGCCCCTCCTAGCCCACCAGCCTGGGACCTGATGGCCCGGGTTGAATCACCCTGATGAAAACATTTTCCTTTGTTGTTTTCTGTTTTCCATTTTCCTTTCCTCTTACCAGTGGGGATCCTTGGCCTAGAAAATTTGGTTCGGTAAAATTTAACAAGAATCCCTACACATGCCCAGCCCTGTGCCAGATTTGGGTGAGAGGAAAAGAATTACCACAGAACGAGGGTCAAAAGGCACAGCTCCCCTACAATGCAGGGACTGCTCTGGCAGGCTCCTGGCCCGATGGAACCCTATGGGCACCCCTGAGGCCAGAACAAACGGTCCCTGCCCCACAGATGAGGAACGCAAGCTTGGAAAAAAAGAAATTTGTCCCACATCCCAAATCTAGGTTGAGCGGAATGAAGCAATTGGCCCAAATCCCAAAACTAGCCAGAACTTGAGTCCCAATGAAGACACACAGTTTTAACCTTTCTCTAGGGGAAAAAAAAATCCCCCTAAAAGCAAAACAAAGAGCACAAATCTGTGCTGACCTAAGTGAACAGTGCAGCGCCACCATGAGAACCGAGGGCTTCCTGTTCAAACATTAAACAGTATTTTTAGGCACTGCTTTAGAGGAGGAGAGAATTTGCACAGACGACAAGACCTCAGCCAGGCCCTGTCTGCCTCTGACTGGAACAGCCCAGGACCGGGAGACTTCACCAGGGCACCTCCAGCCACCGGAAAGGCGCTTCACAGTTCCACTCCACCTGCCATTTCAGCCTCATTTTACAGACGGGCAACAAGAGGCGCAGAGAGCGAAGCAGATCCTAAAACAGAAGAAGTTACCACGGTCAAAGTGTGTCTGGAGTTGGTTCCTGCCGGTGGGTTCGTGGTCTCGCTGACTTCAAAAAGGAAGCCACAGCGTGGTGGCAGGCGCCTATAATCCCAGCTGCTTGGGAGACTGAGGCTGGAGAACTGCTTTAACGCGAGAGGCGGAGGTTGCAGTGAGCCGAGATCGCGACACCGCACTCCAGCCTGGATGCCAGAGCGAGACTCCATCTCAAAAAAAGAAAAAAAAAAAAAAAAAGAATGGAGCCGCGGGCCGGGCACAGTGGCTCGCTCACTCATACTTTGGGACGCCGAGGCCGGCGGATCACGAGGTCAGGAGATCGAGACCATCCTGGCTAACATGGTGAAACCTCGCCTCCACTAAAAATACAAAAAATTAGCCGGGCGTGGTGGCGGGCGCCTGTAGTCCCAGCTTACCCCAGAGGCTGAGGCAGGAGAATGGCGTGAAACCAGCAGGCGGAGCTTGCAGTGAGCCGAGATTGCGCCACTGCACTCCAGCCTGGGCGACAGAGAGACTCCGTCTCAAATAAAAAAAGAAAAAAAAAAAAAAAAAGAATGGAGCCGCCTACCTTCCTGGTGAGTGTTACAGCTCTTAAAGATGACACTGACACAAAGAGTGAGCAGCAAGGAGATTTATTGTGAAGAGCAAAAGAACAAAGCTCCCACAAGGTGAGGGACCCACGCAGGTTGCTGCCGCTGGCTGGTGGTGGGGGGGGTGCGGGCTTTTATTCCGTTATTTGTCCCCGCCCATGTCCTGCTGATTGGTCCACTTTACAGAGTGCTGATTGGTCCACTTTACAGAATGCTGATTGGTCCATTTTACAAACCTCTAGCTAGCTACAGAGCGCTGTTTGGTGCATTTTTACAGAGCACTGATTGGTGCATTTTACAAACCTCTAGCTAGCTACAGAGCACTGATTGGTGCATTTTTACAGAGCACTGATTGGTGCATTTTACAAACCTCTTGTAAGAAAAGTTCTCCAAGTCCCCACTGCACCCAGGAAGTCCAGCTGGCTTCACCTCTCAAAAGCAATACCAGGGCAGCCAGAGGGTACTCCAGGGGGTGCCTTTAGGCGCACTCACTCCTCCATCATCACTGCACTCCCCAGCCCTGACTCTGCAAGTCCTTGACTTGCCCTGTAAATCGGAACCTGGCTAGGCCTCTGGATGCCAGGCTTCCAGCTTCCTGCAGGGACTGGACCTGCCACTCCCTGCTGCTTTGGATGGAGCTGCCCAGCTGTCCCACAGGACCCTTGTGAGCAGCCTGGGCCAGCCCCCAGCTTCCAAAGGCCCCCCGCAGCCTGTGAGTGAGAGCTGCTCCACCCAGGCGCAGCAGACACCACCCCTACTAATCCCCACTCCCAGCAGGGCTGCCTGGAGTGGAGTCCATGAGGGGCTGAGGCTTCTGCGCAGAATGGAGCACACTGGCCACACCTGTCCCAGTTGAATGGGGGGCCCACGCAAAAGCTGCACCCTTGAGCCGGACCTCAGAACTCACTTTTTTTTTTTTTTTTTTTTTTTGAGACAGGGTCTCACTCTGTCATCCAGGCTGGAATGCAGTGGCACCATCTCCGCTCACTGCAGCCTCAACCTCTCAGGCTCAAGCAATCCTCCCACTTCAGCCTCCTGAGTAGCTGAGTATACACGAAGGTACCACCACACCCAGCTAATTTTTAAATTTTTTGTAGAGACGGGGTTTCACTATGTTGCCCAGGCTGGTCCCAAATTCCTGGGCTCAAGCAATCCTCCTGCCTTGGCCTCTCAAAGTGTGGGATTACAGACGTTGAGTCACCGCGCCCAGCCAGAACTCACGCTTTTCCCCATTGTATTCGCAGATATTAAGGCAGATTTCAAAACGTACTTGGAGAAGAAACCCAACATTTTAGTTTAAGCCAGTCAACCTGTGTAAGAAACTCTCATCTGTTTTTATCAGTGCTAGACAGGACAGAAAGGACTTCCACACTGATTTCATTTTTTAAACAAAAGCATTTCATGCCAAAAACAATTCACTTTTAACAACTGCTGTCACACTTGGGCTACTGCTATCACATCTGAACCTCTCCCTGAAGGGGGAGAAGGATTTTATCAACACTGATAGGAAACACAGTTACTTTTGAGCTACTCTCACCTTAATATAAAAAGCTAGGTACTGTTAATGCTAGCGGCGGGATCACAGGTTACTGGGATTGTGCTGGTCATTTATCCTAACTCCTTTTGTGCTTTTGTTTCTCTCAATTAGATGGTGAATCTGTAAAGTTTTCTCTCCCGGACCCCACCTCTCCCCCACCTCCAGGCCCCTCACTTTCTGTATCCTGACTACTAAGAATACAAAGTGAAATGTTTGAATTAGAAACCCAATCTCACAATCTTTACTTCATGCTCTTTTTTTTTTTAATCCTAAGAAAATATTCCTTTGTGTCCAGGTTTGTAAAAATGACTTAAAAGCCTCAGCATTTTACATTCAATTATCTGGCAGCACCCCCAGCATCTGCAAACAATATGGTCCTGGTTTTACATATGCAAACAAGTCCTGACTCTAAAAGTAAATAAAGGATGAGTTTCTGAGAAAAAGACCAGAGACTTTGGGCAAGTTCCCTTCTAGAAGTACTGGGAAGGAGAACTTGAAGTCTGGGGGAAGGGCGGCAAGAGCTCAGGGAATCAGGGAAATCCTGGTTTTTAGAAAAGCATTCATGACATGGTCAGAGGATACGTTTATTAACGATCTGTCGGGGCACTAGTCTTGAACACTTCACCAGATGTTTGATCACATCCTTAAGTGGTTTTGTTCTGAGGAAATACAGATTGACATAGAAAAGAAAGATGCAATGATTTATTCCTGTAAAACGCTGTAAATAATTAAGACATTTCTATCCTTTGACTAAAAATTCCTACTCTGGAGAATATATCCTAAGGGAATAAATCAGCAGAAGCAAAACATGATATTTATGCAGAAGTTGCACCGTAAAACAGTGGGAATGGTTTAGTGAAAGATGTGGAATCTCCTTGACGCAACTGTCACATCAGGAAATAGGATTATGAAGACTGTGTAGCAACAAGGAAAAATGCTTATGCTACAATAAATAAAATGTCTACATTGACGTAGAAACACAGGCATGGGGGAACAGCAACTAACAAAACAACCCACATGGGTGTTGGAATGATGGTGATTTTCTTCTTTCTGGGCTGTTGTGATATCATCTTCTCAGTGAAAAACAAAAAAGTCTGGAAGTAGAAGAGACAATGTAAACCCTTGAAATCCCCCCGCTGAGGGCAATTTCGGAGCGACAGACTCTGTCTCCTCAGGGAGGCCCAGCTCCAGGGTCCATCCTGTGAGTACAGGCACACCACAAACACCAGAGGAAGGGCTTGTCGAGAACCAAATGCTGACCACAGGCACAGCTTCTCTGCTCCCCTTCTACCTGCTTACGAAGAGACAGTTCAAGCCTTCTCACCACCACCAGCAACCCGAGGAGACTCCTTTTCCTGACCCCTTTAAACGTTCTCTTTTGATACCCCACCACGATGATGATGATAACAAATACAACTGAAGTATTATTATCAAGACTGGATTACATATTATGGGCCAGACACTGCGCCAATTGCTATTATCTTATCTATTCCTCCTGATAACCCCCACGCGGCTGGGATTCTTATTACACCCATTTACAGATGGGAAAATTGAGACAGAAAGAGAAGTGTCAGGGCTGGACTTAAATCCTGGTAGCAACTGACATGGATCATAGATGACAACCTCTGCTCTCAAGTAATGTTCCTATCTACAAACATTCTTTAAAGCTATCAGGGCCGGGCGCGGTGGCTCACACCTGTAATCCCAGCACTTTGGGAGGCCGAGGCAGGCAGATCACCTGAGGTCAGGAGTTCGTGACTAGCCTGGCCAAAATGGTGAAACCCCATCTCTACTAAAAAAAATACAAAAAAAAAAAAAAAAATTAGCCGGGCGTAGTGGCACACATCTGTAGTCCCAGATACTCAAGAGGCTGAGGCAGGAGAATCACTTGAACCCGGAAGGCAGAGGTTGCAGTGAGTGAGAGCATGTCATTGCACTCCAGCCTGGGCAACAAGAGCAAGACTCCATCCCAAAAAATAAATTAAAAATAACAATAAAGTTGCTATCAGAAGCCAAGCCATACATAACTCAGATAGAAACCAGTACAGTGTCTGCAAAAGGGTGGGAGAGTGACAGGAATTAACTACAAGGGCAGCATGGAGGAGATTAAGGGTGACAGAACTGTTCTGTGTGGTCCTGGGATGATGGACCCATGATTATGCATTTGTCAAAAACCACAGCACTGTCCATCCCAAAGAGTGACCTGTAATGAATACCAATTACAAACCAAAAGTCAGGATGCTGGAGAAACCCAGGCTAGAATAACAAATCTAACTATACTAAAGTTGTATGGCATAACCTCACTGAAGGTTGGGGAAAAGTGTAGCTCACCTAAGTAACGTTGCAAAATGGTGTTTTCATTGAAAACTCTAAGGCTGGCCAGGTGTGGTGGCTCGCGCCTGTAATCCCAGCACTTTGGGAGGCAGAGGCGGGAGGATCACCTGAGGTCAGGAGTTCGAGACCAGCCTGGCCAACATGATGAAATCCCCTCTCTACTAAAAATATAAAAATTAGCCTGATATGGTGGCGTGCACCTGCAATCCCAGCTACTTGGGAGGCTGAGGCAGGAGAATCACTTGAACCCGGGAGGCGAAGGTTGCAGTGAGCCAAGATCGTGCCACTGCACTCCAGCCTGGGCGACAGAGTGAGACTCTGTCTCAAAAAAAAAAGAAAGAAAGAAAAGAAAACTCTAAGGCTGAAGACAAAAGGAATCTGATGTAAACACTGTACTCTAGCTAGGCGGTAAAGATGTTTCTCACAGGGATTCAGGTTAGCAATTTTGAAACTACTTTATATACACATTAGGGTTGAACAGATAAGTAAACAAATTATGAGTAATGAGAGCCAGGTTTCTCACTGTCCAAGAAAGAAGTTACAAATAAGCAAAGGAGGAAAGCTACAGTGAACCCTGTGGTGCTGAATCAGTATCGAAGACATAACCATGAGGTCATGTTCATGTTCTGTACACAGATAGATACATACAGAAATCATCACAGATATGTGCATATAGAGGAGTCAATATACATGTTTCTACACCTCCCTCTGTCTGCAGAGAAGTTCTACAAACAGTCATACCCTAGTAGTAACAAGCACACACAGTACCCAGATCTTGGTCTCTAATATCATTCTCCAATAAAAGGAACCAGGGCTTCTTGGAGAGATGAGAAATGAGAAATTCTAGGGCCAAGGCAGAAAAAACACAAGATGAGCCTGGAGTCTTACAGTGCCCGAAAGTAAGGAAGTGCTTTACAAAGGGGTTGGGGTCAGGGGCACTCGTCAAAGAAACATAAGAACCAACCTGAAAGGCTGGGTGTGGTGGTTCACGCCTGTAATCCCAGCAATTTGGGACACCAGGACGGGCAGATTACTTGAGGTCAGGAGTTCAACACCAGCCTGGCTAACATGGTGAAACCCTGTCTCTATTAAAAATACAAAAATTAGCCAGGCATGTTGGATCAGGCCTGTAATCCCAGCTACTTGAGAAGCTGAGGCACAAACTGGGAGACGGAGGTTGCAGTGAGCAGAGATTGTGCCACTGCACTCCAGCCTGAAAACCAACCTGAAAGAGCTTAGAATGGCCAAAGCTGGAACAATTTAAGCAACAAAATAAATAATGTTGTGTGGTCTTATAACGCAAAGAATAAATTAAATATCCTTGAGTCTACAGTGATATAAATGATTGAATAAATAAATGGAGAGAAGAGATAAAACTTCCTTACAGAATTCCAAATAATATATGTAAATACTTCCCTCTTCCCGGAGGTGAAGCTAACTTCCCCTCCCCTTGATATGGGCTAGACTTAAACAATAACTTTATAATGGAGAAATCTGGCAGATTTCCCTTCCCTCAACCAAGTGATCAAGGTTCATGTCACAGGAATACCTCATGCTGGCCCCATGGGCCCCCGATGGGATGCCATGAACATGGCAATCCACCTCAGTGGTATTCTTTCCAAATGCTCCTCATGAGAAGTATTAGACTATCCCAAATTGTGAGACATTCTATAAAATACCTGCTTAATATGTCTCAAAACTGTCAAGGCCATGCAAAGCAAGGGAAGACTGAGAAATGGTCATAGATTGGAAGAGACTAAGAAGACAGCACAATCAAATGCAACGTGTGTCCTAGATGGACCGTGGAATAGGAAAAGGACATTAGAGAGAAGAAATGGGTGAAATCTAAGGTGTAATTTAGTTTTAAAAAAAAAAAGCATAATCACAAAGTCACTTACCACCAAATAAGATATAGCCTTGTTATTTTTTAGAATGGATTTATTTTTTTAACTGAGGTGAAATTCACATAATCATTAACATAAAATTAACCATTTTAAAGTGAACAATTCAGTGGCATTAAGTACATTCATAATGTTATACAATCACCCCCTCTATTTTCAAAACACTGTCATCACCCCAAAAGGAACTCCTGTATCCTTTCCTCCCTAACCCCAGCTCCTGCAACCACCAGTCTGCTTTGTTTCTGTGGGATTTATCTATTCTGTATATTTCACATAAGCAGAATCAACACCACTTGTGATTTCCTTGCCCTTTGTCTGGTTCCTTTCACTCAGCATGATGTGTTTGAGACTCATGCACATTGGCGTGGATCATTCATTCCTTTTTATGACTGAATAATATTGCATGGTGTCTACACTACCATTTGCTCATCCATTCACTGATGAACATCTGGGCACTTTCCACCTTTTGGCTGTTGTGTACGGCGCTGCTGTGAACATGAGTCTACTTTTATTTGAGTATCTGTTTTCAATTCTTTGGGGTATAAACCTGGGAGTGGAATTGCTGGGTCATATGGTAATTTCACATTTAATTTTTTGAGGATCCCACCAAACTCTTTTCCACAGTGGCTGAGTCATTTTACACTGCCACCAGCAACGTATGACAGTTCCAATTTCTCCACATTTTTGCCAAAAGATCCTGGTGGATGTGAAATGGTATATCATTGTGGGTTTGATTTACATTTCCCTAATGACAAATGATGTCGAGATACTTTTCGTGTGTTTGTTGCTCATCTGTATATCCTGTTTGAAGAAATGTCTGTGCAAGTCCTTTGCCCATGTTAAAATTGGGTTGTGTGTAGTTTTGTTGTTGAACTGTAGGAGCTCTTTATAGAATCTGTATACTAGACCCTAATCAGATATAGGATTTGTGAATATTTTCTCACGTAAATTCTTGATCAGGATTCTAACCACCTCCAACCAAGACGCAATATGAGCGTGTTAACATCATCTTGAACGTTGGTGGAAGTTTTCCAATGGTTTCGTGCTGGTCTTCACATTAGTCCTTACTGAGATCTTGCTACATTAAAAGTGGGATATTGTTACTAATATATTTGATCTGATCCTCTTTAGTTAACAGTAATTGTATTCGTTTTCTATTGCTGTATAACAAATGCCACAAAGTTAGCAGTTTAAATACACACTGACTATATCACAGTTTGTGTGGTCAGAGGCTGGGCATAACTGCAGTTGGTCTCTGCTCAGGTTCTCGAGGCTGAAATCAATGAGTCAGCTGGGGGTTTCTTCCTGGAGCTCTGAGTCTTCTCTCAAGTTCATGTGGTTCCTCCTGGTTTAGCAGGAAGGCCTCATTCTCTTGCTGGCTGTTGGCTGGGTACTCTCAGTTCCCAGAGGCAGCTCACAGTTCCCTGCCACACAGCCCCTCCACACCCCTTCATGCTGCACATCCCTGACTTCAGGAGGGTCCTCATCCCTTCCAAGGGCTCACTTGGTTAAGTCAGGGCCACTGAATAATCTCCTTTTTCACTAACTCAAAGTCAAGTGATTCCTTCGTAACTCAATCATAGGAAGATAGCCCATCATACCCTCTCCATACTGGAGAGGAGGGAATTGTATAAAGCATGTTCCCTAGGGAGCGGGAATGTTGGAGACCATCTTAGAACTCTGCCTGTCAGAGTATCACAGTTCATTTCTTTTTCTTTTTCTTTTTTTTTTTTTCCTTTGAAACAGGGTCTTGCTCTGTCACCCAGGCTGGAGTGTAGTGGTACCATCATGGCTCACTACAGCCTCGACCTCCTGGGCTCAAGTCATCCTCCCACCTCAGCCTCCCAAGTAGTTGGGACTACAGGTGCCGCCAAGTCAGGCTAATTTTTCTATCTTTTGTAGAGACTGGGTTTCATCATGTTGCCCAAAATGATCTCAAACTCCTGAGCTCAAGTGATCTGTGCCTGCCTCGGCCTCCCGAAGTGCTGGGATTATAGGTGTGAGCCACTGTGCCTGGCCTAATTTCTTACTTTTGACCAATGTACTGTGGTTATGTACATATGTACACTATGTACATATGTTTTTCTACATTAGTACATTAGTTTTTCTACAAACCTAAAATCATCCCCACATTTTAAAAAGACCAGATCATGAATTTACACTTATAGGCAACATAGAGTGACAATGACTAGATTTGCCATTCTGCCTAAACAACATCAACAACAAAAGCCACAAATGTATTCCTGCATATAAAACAATAATTTTGAAGATGCTAGGGACAGGCAGGCAAGGACAGTGATCTTTGAGACAGGCAACAACTGCTCTAGCTTCCCACCTGGGGAGTGGCCAGGCTGAGCACATGGAGGGGGGACGCGGGTGGTGCCTGGCAGCCTCCCGAATTGAAGACATGGAGCTGAGAGCCAAGGGAGGCCGAGGCAGTCAGAGTGTGCGGAACAGAGGACTGGAGAGATGAAAGCCACCAAGATCTGCTGAGGATCCCCTTCGAGTAGGAGGCAGAGGGCCTAATCAGCCCCTGCAGGCAAGGAAATGACTGAGGTCAGGGAACGAACCACCGAAAAGGATTCTAGGGCACCGCAGACAGCATTCACACTGGGGCCGGGAGAATGCCCGATCCCACCAGCCAGGCCAGTAAACCTCATAATCCACCATGAGAAAGTACTGAGGAGAGGCATGGCACTGTGGTTCACACCTGTAATCCCAGCACTTTGGGAGGCCGAGGCAGGAGGATCACCTGAGATCAGGAGTTCGAGACCAGCCTGGCCAACATGATGACACCCAGTGTCTACTAAAAATACAAAAATTAGCCGGGCATAGTGGCAGGTGCCTGTAATCCCAGCTACTTGGGAGGCTGAGGCAGGAGAATCGCTTGAACCCGGGAGACAGAGGTTGCAGTGAGCCAAGATCGCACCACTGCACTCCAGCCTGGGTGACAGAGTGATCAAAGTGAGACTCAGTCTCAATAAATAAATAAATAAAAAATAAAATACTTAGGGGAGCACCAGGAAGGGCCCTGCCTTGCTAGTAGGGAAGAATTAACCCTAGGGCCTAGGTGAAACACTGCTCTAGTCCCACCTAATGGATCCCAACAAGACCCTAAAGGACCAAACTATTTCCAGCCCAGGAATATATATACAAATGCAAAAATATTCAGCATCTCATGAGGTAAAAGTCATCATGTCTGGCAGAAGAATAAGAAGTTACCAGCAGGAAAATAGGCCCTATGATGAACAAAAAAATTAATTAATTGAAACTGGCCCACAACTGCCACAGAGGTTGGAATTAGCACACAAAGACATTAAAGCAATTATTATAACCGTACTGCCTATGTGCAGAAAGCTCAGCAGAGACAACAAAGTATTGAAAAGACCTAAACTGGGCTGGCCACAGTGGCTCACGCCTGTAATCCCAACACTTTGGGAGGCCGAGGCGGGCGGATCACAAGGTCAGGAGATTGAGACCATCCTGGCTAACACGGTGAAACCCCGTCTCTACTAAAAATACAAAAACTAGCTGGGTGTGGTGGCGGGCGCCTGTAGTCCCAGCTACTCGGGAGGCTGAGGCAGGAGAATGGCGTGAACCTGAGAGGCGGAGCTTGCAATGAGCCGAGATTGCGCCACTGCACTCCAGCCTGGGTGACAGAGCGAGACTCTTTCTCAAAACAAAAAAAAAAAAGACCTAAACTGAAATTCCAGAGATGAAAACTACCAGGTCTGAGATGAAAAATATGATGGAAGGGATTAATGGCAGATGAGACATTGCCAAAGAAAAGATTATAAACTAGAAGACAGCAATGGAAACTACCTAAAATGAACACACAGAGAATTATTTTTAAAAGGAAAAGACAAAGAAGACAACTAGTGAACTGTGGGACTTCAAGTGGTCAAAATATGTGTAATTGGAGTCACCAAATGAGGAGTGAGAAAGAGCAAAATAGAAAAAAAAATTTTGAAGAATAGTCAAAAAGTGTTTTCAAATTTGGTGAAAATTATAAATCCACAGATCTAAGAATCACAATGAAACCCAAGCACACACAAAAAAAAATCAAGAAAACGACACCAAGATATATCATAATCAGATTGCTTAAAACCAGCAATAAAGAGAAAATCTTAAAAGCAGTCAGAGAAAAATGACATATACATGAGCAACTGGAATTGTCCTACACTGCTGGTGGGAATCTGAAATGATGCGATGGCCTTCAGCAACAGTTTCTTAAAAAGTTAATAATACACATATCATATGCTCAGCCATTCCACTCCAAGGTATTTACATCCAAGAGAAATGAAAGAATAAATCCGTACAGGGACTGGCACGTGAATACCCATAGCAGCTTTATTTACAATAGACAAAAACTGGAAACAATCCAAACTTCCATCAATAGCTGAATGGATAAACAAATTGTGGTATATCCATATAGTGAAGTAATACTCGGTAATGAAAAAGAATGAATTAACTATTGTGCAAAAGCAGTTCTTTGTATAAGCACTACATAAACATACTAAAGTATCTCTCAATAACTACACTGAGTGAAAGAAACCAGACGAACAAAGAGTGTGTTATTCCACCCAGAGAAAAATCCTGGAAAATGAACAGAAATCAATAGTAACAAAATCAGTGGCACGTTGGTGGCAGGCAGGGAGGGATGGAAGGGAGGGAACTGAACGAGGCAGGAGGAAACTCTGGAGGGTGAGGGATGCATTCCCTATCTAGACTGTGGAGAGGGTTTCATAGTTGTGCACAGATGTCAAAATTTATTAAGTTGTGCATTTTTAATTTGTGGAGTTCACTGTATGTCAATTATACTTCAAAAAAAAAGGCAAACAACAAAAATCCCAGGCTGCGGCTTCTACAGACTTGGTGGGTGGTAGAGTGTGTGTCCTGGGTACAGAAGGCATCACACTGAGCCTCAGGTTCTGCCTGGGTTCGGTGACAGGTAAAGCACCCAGCAGAGTCATGGCAAAGGCCAATTGTGAGAGCGTCTGGCCCGGCCACCGCACTTGGCAGGAGCCACTTGGCTTTTCTCTAAGAATGTGGGTTTAATCAGTGACTCCCATTGGCACACTGAGTGACTCTCTTTCAAACCACGTCAGCAAACGCATTTCCTCAAGGGTCCCTGATAGGTCCTGAAATACATTAACATGTTTTGAAAGGGTTGGTCTACAAACAAATGGGATTCCTCAGTAATCCTTCATTCACATTCACATTCATTATTTTTTAAAATTATTTTTGTAGAAAATATTCACAGCAGTTTTATTAATAATAACCCAATACTGGAAACAACTCAAATGCTCATTAACAGGAGAATGAATAGTGATATAGTCATACAATGAAATACTACTCTATAATACAAAGAGTTATTGATACGTGCAAATACATGAATAAATCTCAAAAGCACTATTTTAAGCAAAGGAACCACACATAAAAGAAGACATACCATACCATAGGGTTCTTTTTTTTTTTCTTTGTTGAGACAGAGTCTCGCTCTGTCACCCAGGCTGGAGTACAGTGATGCAATCTCCACTCACTGCAAATTCAGCCTCCCAGGTTCAAGCGATTCTCCTGCCTCAGCCTCCTGAGTAGCTGGGGGTACAGGCGCCCACCATCACGCCCGCCTAATTTTTGTATTTTTAGTAGAGACAGGGTTTCACCATGTTGACCAGGCTACTCTTGAACTCCTGACCTCAAGTGATCCACCCACCTCAGCCTCCCAAAGTGCTGGGATTCCAGGCATGAGCCACCGCACCTGGACCTGAGGGTTCTATTTATATGAGGTTCTAGAACAGGCAAAACTGAGCTATTGGTGATAGAAAGCAAGAAGGCGGTTACCTCTGGGTGGAGACAAGAAAGGGGCATAGGGAATTTTCTGAGATGTTAAAAATATTCTGTACTTATTGGAGATGCTGGTCATGGGCGCATATATTTGTCAACATCCATCTAACTCTACACTTAAAATCTGTGATTTTATTGTGTGTAAATTATATCCTTTCTTTTTTAAGAGTTAGAACAAAAGAAAAAAAGTAAGTTGCAGGATGTGGAGGGAAATTCTCAGTGGAATCCCACAAGGAAACCGTGCCAGCCCCTCCATTTGTCCAAGCATTCTACTCGCCACGGGGTTGGATGCTACACAGACGCCAATGAAAAGGTTGCTCCCGGGAAATGTTTGGAAGCCGCTTAATGCTCCTTGCAGGGAGACATTCAGATAACATACATTGTTTCCCCACAAATATACACACTGTGAGAGAGAAGCTTACTCCAAAAGGGTGGCTCAAAAATACAGCATTCTGTTTCTTGCGGCAACCGGTTTGCAGTGTCAAGAAACGTAAGACAATCTATGTTGTCTTTCCCACTTCATGAATGCTAAACGCTGAAGGTATTCAGCTTAGCATCTCCGAGTTGGAGAGAATGAGGACACCATCCACCTGACTTCTCTTCAAACCAGAGTCCCTTCTCCAGCACTCCTGCTCAATAGGAATCCAGGCACTTACCTGATTTGGCATGTGAGATCAGTACTTCCAGCCCATTCTTTTGGGACAACTCTTCATTTGCTTTCAAGTTCTTAGCAGTCATTAACTAGCAATCTTCATCCTGGTATCTTTTATGTGTCAGTCGCTTTTTCCTTCAGAAGAAGGAAAGGACAGCTCCGCACAGCTCCCCACCTGTACTCTTAGGGTCAAGGGGAGCCAGGCTGTTCATTTGGTCCATCCTTTTTCAACACCACTTCTTGCCTTATGAGTGCTGCAGAAATATCCTCTAATGAAAAGAAAAGTGTCCTCCTTTAGGAAACAGGAACCTCCAGGTCTTAACTACTATCCTGGGAATGAAGTCAGCCACAAAACTAAGGGATAATTGGGCAGTTAGGAAGCACCTCTTAACCTCAAAATAATACAACCCTTCCTAAGGCTGTCTTTCCACCACTACAGCTTCGCTCGTGTAGGGAATGAAGGAGTGGCCCCTCTTCAAAGACCCCCTTTGAAAATGCAGCATTTCCCAAGGAAAGCCACACATTCAGCTGCTTATTAACAGCAACATGTTTTTCGTGTTAATTTGCCGTTCACAACACACTCCTATGTGTTACCTCCTTAGGCCCTCACTAGGAGCTCCTGCAGAAGATCATGGATTATCATTATTTCCACCTATCTTTTTGGAAGATAAATCTCAAGCAGTTCCATGGCTCACCTAGACCACCTAGATGGGCAGTGGCAAAGCTGGAACTAAAAAGCAAGTCTTCCCACAGCAGGTCCTGTGCTCTTCCCATAGACAAGGCACCTGCCACCTGGTCCTCACTATTCAGGAGACTGATTGCTGTGAGAGCAGAAACAGAACGCAGGACAGTTCCTGGGAAAGGCAAGAAGAGTGCATGAGCCATTGTGTTGGGGGTGAGGAGAAGGGGCGCAGGACAGGAAGGAAGCGGAGACCAGGTCCACCTTCACTTGCTCCGAGTTTTGCCAGGCATATGTGTCCTCAGAGAAACTCACATACACCAGGTGTTCGGAATATGACCGTAGCCACAACTACTTCACAATCTTCCAAGCGAGCAAGTCAATCCATTGATTCCTCTAGTAGCGATGGATAAAAACCCAACTCAAATTGGCCTGGACAGTGATGTCGAGAGGGGCTCGGTCACGAAGCCGCAGTGCTTTTGGCAGTCCCTCAATACCCCTTCAGACTGTGTTTCTCCTTGCGCAGCAAGTCGATGCTGGGAGCTCCAACTTACAGCCGTTGGGGGTGATTTTGCGAAGGTAGTTTTTTCAAGCAAAGTTCAGTTCCCTAAAGCATACTGGCTGAAAAAGTCTTGCCCTGCTGCCCAATAGCCCACTGGCGTTGCCATTCATTATCCTTTTTTTTTAGACGGAGTCTCACTCTTGTCGCCCCAGGCTGGAGTCCAGTGGCATGATGTTAGCTCACTGCAACCTCCGCCTCCCGGGTTCAACCGATTCTCCTGCCTCACCCTCCCAAGTAGCTGGGACTACAGGCGCCCCCCACCACGCCTGATTTTTGTATTTTTAGTAGAGACGGGGTTTCGCCATACTGGCGAGGCTGGTCTCGAACTCCTGACCTCGTGATCCACCCGCCTCGGCCTCCCAAAGTGCTGGGATTACGGGCGTGAGCCACCCACCGAGCCCGTCCTCATTATTTTTCAAAGACACACACGGCTTCTCAGAACCCGCCCTCCAGGGTTCACCATGCTGGGCTGGCGCAGAGACCCATCCAGGCGGTAGGAGCGGGGACAGGCGCGGGGTCGTGGAGGGCCCCGGGCTGTTCCTGATCCTCGAACTCTCTCCTCCCCACGGCCGCGGTCTCCTCCCCGGGCCCCGCGCGCCAGGCCCTGCGAAAAGCCCCAACGGGTCCCCCGGCGACCGCCGCGCCGGCCTCTCGGTCCTGTCCTCCGAGGCGCCAGGCCTCCGCCTCCAGCGCGGGCCTCTCGGGCAGCGCCGCCCCTCCCCCTGCGCGCACGGGAGGCCGCCTGGGTTCGGCTTTGGACCAGGCGAGCAGCGCGGCGCTGGCCGCTCTGCCGGGTCAGCCCCGCGGAGACGTCTTCCCCGCTGCGCCCCGGCCCCAGCGCAGCGCCCGGGGAGCGGCCCCTCCTCGGGCAGCGGCCGGCGCCTGTGTCCCTAGCGCGGTACTGCTTCTGCCTGAGGACTCCCCGCCGGGGTCCTCCCTGTCGCCGTCTGCGCCTCCGCGCCCTGTGGGCCGAGGCCCCGGCGCTCCTCGCTCAGCCCAACTCCCAAGGCCCAGCGGGTCCCTGCTCTGCCGTCCGGGGATCCCGCGGGTGGTCCGGAGCCCGGGGCGCGGCGCGCCGTTCATTCCCGCGTCCTGGCGGGGCCTGCTTCTTCCCGAGCCCTCTCCCTGCGGCTGGTGGTCCCAGCGTGCTGGCCGCGTCTCCCCTCTTCTCGGGACACCAGCCCTGTTGGATCAGGGCCCCCCCACAACGACCTGTGCCACCTCATCCGCCTCTTTAAAGACCCCATCCCCAAGGGCGGCCGCATCCGGAGGCCCAGGGGTGAGGACTTCGCCACGGGAAGGAGGCACACGATTCAGCCCATGACACCGCCACCTCGGCGTGGTGCTGTAGGGGGAAGCTCAGGCACTCACCGAGGACAGGACCCGGGGAATCCGCTGGGGCTTTCAGCAGGGCCTGGCGCGCGGGGCCTGGGGAGGAGACCTGGGGAACAGCCCAGGGCCCTCCCAGAACCCGCGCCTGCCCCCCGCTGCCTGGATGGGGTCTCTGTACCAGCCCAGACCAGAGCGAGTGTCAAGGGGGCTCCTCTGGCCGCGCTGCGCCCCCGCGGGGCAGCCCCAGAAGGGCCATTGCTCAGTCCTCACCAAGACCAGCGAGGCGGATTCGGCCAGCCCCTTTCCAGAAGAGGAAGCCGAGGTTCGGAAAGGTCAACCAACTTGTCCCAGGACGCTGGCCGGTTCAGAGGCAGCTCTGGACTCAGACCCAGGCTTCCCAATTCTAAAGCCCACTGCATGAGCCGTCAGGGCCCAGCTACAGGGTCTTTCGGGGACACTTGGACGGGATAACTTCCACAGTGAGGCGATAAGGTCAGGCTGGTCCCATCTGGGGACCTTATAAAGTCTCTCACTGTCTAAGTGAGATGCCTGTACAGTGCCCACACAGCATGCACACACGTGCATGCACACACCCACATGCACACACACACTCATGCACACACACATGCATGCACACGCCCACATGCACACATTCATGCACACACACACATGCATGCACACACATGCACACACAGGCATACTTACGTGCATATGCATACATGAAACACGTGCACACATACACCCATGTACACACACATATGCACACATGCATACTCCTGGCACACACGTGCACACACACCCATGTACACACACATGCATGCATTCTCCTGGCACACACATACACACTTCCACCCTCACACTAGCTCACGCTCACACACACTCGAGTCCCCTTGACATCATGGGAATCTTCCCTTCCTGACTGCACCACAAGCCTGGTCTGAAAGGAGGCTGCAGGAGGTAATATAACCGCCCAAGCCCCACGCAAAAAGGCGCAGTTAAAGCACAGTCAAATCAATGAGCAGATCCGGCATTTTTTGTGTGATGTTCCTCCCGGGAGGCCCAAAGTTGAGTAGATTTTATTTAAACTGTCTTTTCAAATACATTCTAATTGCTTTATGCCTTGTTTCACAGCTCAGAGTTGGAAACAAATTCCATTTTAGAAGTTGCCATTACCCATTTGCAAGCACCGCCTTCCCCCACCCACCCCTGCCCCCCAAAAATTCCGTGGCTACATCAGGAGAATAGATTTTCTCATTTCCCAGTGTGAAGCGAAGCAGATGTGTGTGAAGCCTCTAGCTCACCAGGTTAACCACGAGCATTTCGCCGTGTTGCCGCCATACCGCATGATTATAAAAGCAGACTTTTTTTTTTTGAGACAGAGGACTCTCTTAATTAAAGCAAATTGATTAGGTATTTGTGTGCCCTTTCACAATGACAAATCCATACAATTATTTTCATGAATAATTTTATTTTTATTTTGGTCATGACTTTTTAAAATTAATGGAAAGTCTCAGTCTGCTCAAATGATAAACCAAAAAATGGGGTCATGAAGCAAATTCAGTCTTTGCATTTCTTCAACAACCAACTCACATTTCTCTGCTCCTTGACTCAGAGGCTGGACATGTGCTAACAGCTTTTTTGCTTCTGTATATCCTTAATAGGATGGCAGAATCCCGGTGTTAAAAGAATCTTAAAGTCAGCCGTGTCACCATGGGACCTCGATTAGCAAACAGATGTAGACATTCCTTCCAAATTCAGTCAAAGAAAAAACTCTAATACCAGCAGCCATGTTCAGGGTGTGCACGACATGCTGAGCGCTTGGGATACATCCCCTTGTTTAATTCTCACAGAAACTTTGTGAGACAAGTACTATAATCCCTGTTTAACAGATGGGCAAACTGAGGTTTGGAAAAACACTCATTTACCGGAGGTCACACAGCTGGAAAATAGCAGTGCTGGGATGTGAACCTGGGTGTCCTCAAGGCTGAAGTCTTTGTTTGTTTGTTTTGAGACGGAGTCTTGCTCTGTCGCCCAGGATAGAGTGTGGTGGCGAGATCTCGGCTCACTACAACCTCTGCCTCCCGGGTTCAAGAGATTCTCCTGCCTCAGCTTCCCGAGTAGCTCGGATTACAGACACCCACTACCGCGCACGGCTGATTTTTGTACTTTTAGGAGAGACGGGGTTTCACCATGTTTGCCAGGCTGGTCTCGAACTCTTGACCTTGTGATCCACCTGCCTCAGACTCCCAAAGTGCTGGGATTACAGGCATGAGCCACCGCGTCTGGCCAAGGCTGAAGTCTTCCCTGCCACTCCACGCATCCATCACTTACAGATGTCTACAAGGATGTCCACACTCGCAGAAAAAGCTGCTGCTCAAAGCCAAATCATTGTTTCCACCAGGTCTGCCATGAGGCTGTGGAAAGGGCTAGGGATTAGGAGTGAGGTTACTGGGTCACCTAGGTTCAGGTGCCCATTGCCACCAGGGGCCAATCGCTGCCCCTCTCTGGGAGGCTGGATCCCATCTTACCCACGATAGAGCAGCTGTAGAGAGAGGAGGCTGTTGAGAAACTAGAGGACATGAGGCCGGGCATGGTGGCTCACACCTGTAATCCCAGCACTTTGGGAGGCCAAGGCGGGTGGATCACTTGAGATCAGGAGTTAGAGAACAGTCTGGCCAACATGGTGAAACTCCATCTCTACTAAAAATACAAAACTTAGCCGGGTGTGATGGCGCATGCCTGTAATCCCAGCTACTCCAGAGGCTGAGGCAGTAGAATCACTTGAACCTGAGAGGCAGAGGCTGCAGTGAGCCGAGATCGTGCCATTGCACTCCAGCCTGGGCAACAGACTGAGACTCCATCTCAAAAAAAAAAAAAAGAAAGAAAGAAACTAGAGGACATGTGAATCCTCTGCCCAGGACACACATGGGACGCACACAGTTGTTTCTCCTATAGCCTCTAGAAGTACGCCGACACGTGACTTTCAGAGGACATCTGCAAGCTTTTTTTTTTTTCCCCAATGGTTCGTGCTTAGTCCTGAAATATGTTTCTGGACATGATGAAGGGATGTTCTCTGCGTGCCTATGTCAACAGTTAAAGATTAATCCTGATTCAACACATGATGAAAACTGCATAAGGGAGAAAGCTGGAGGTGGTGTGTGGCCTCTGGAGAATCTTCCCAAACTGAATTACATTCGTTCACATAACGACAAATCACAGTGAGGACCAAGCACGGTGCCTGGCACCACTAAATGCTGCTCAAGAAAGGTTTCTGGCCGGGTGTGGTTGGCTCATGCCTGTAATCTCAACACTTTGGAAGGCCAAGGTGGGAGGGCTGCTTGAGTCCAGCAGTGAAAGACCAGCCTGGTCAACACAGCAAGACAATAACTTTACAAATTAGCCAGCTGTGGTGGTGCTCACCTGTAGTCCCAGATACTCGGGAGGCTGAGGCGGAAGGATCACCTGAGTCCAGGAGCGGAGGCTGCAGTGAGCTGTCATCACACCACTGCACACCTGCCTGGGTGACAGAGCGAGACTCTATCTCAAAAAGAAATAAAGTTTCCACACCAAACTGATACAGGGGTTTCATTCTGAAATGAAACTTTCAAACTTAAAGGCTTTCTTTGTTATCAATTGCTTTTTGCTTTCGACAACAATGATAAATCCAACTGAAATTAAAAATTCAACTAAAAGATATATTGAATCCACGTTGCCCATTATAAAACTTGAAGCACAATTTCATAATGGTCCCACAGCTTCCGAATACCACAGGAGGAGAAACCTGTCTGTCTCAAACTCAGATGTTCTAAAATTAAAACGAGGCTGAGCGTGGTGGCTCATGCCTGTAATCCCAGCACTTTGGGAGGCCAAGGCAGGCAAATCACCTGAGGTCAGGAGTTCAAGACCATCCTGGCCAACATGGTGAAACTCCAACTCTACTAAAAATACAAAAATTAGCCAGGCATGGTGGCACACACCTGTAATCCCAGCTACTCGGGAGGCTGAGGCAGGAGAATCGCTTGAACCCGGGAGACAGAGGTTGCAGTGAGCCAAGATCATGCCACTGCACTCCAGCCTGGGCGACAGAGTGAGATTCCGTCTCAAAAAAAAAAAAAAAAATTAAAACGAAAAACAAAGCCCGAAAGACATCCTTCTGTATCCAGTTACTCCACATCCCAAAGAATAACAGAAGAAAGAAACTTTCCCCTCAAAACCACTGACTGTACCATTATCTGCACTAACAAAAATAGGGGGAGGGTGTATGCCACGTTGATAGTAGGATGCAGATTTTCTTGATGGGATATGCAAGATTTTCTTGATGGGATATACGGTACAGTCATCACACATGACCCTAAAGATGAGCCATCACCTGGAAAAATGTGTCTGATGTACAGTTTAAAAGCAAGGTAAAAATGGTATGCATTCTGTGGTTAAAATTAGGTAAGCAAATATCTGTCTACATGATGGATGAGAAAGGATTGCGCAGAAAGTTAAACAGCCCTTGGTTTAGGATGGTAAGATTATAGGGTAACATTCATCATGCTAAATCAAGACATAGCTTGGTTATTTAAAAAAGAAAAAAGTGCGGGGCAGGGGGAACAGGTGCAGTAGCTTAGATCTGTAATCCCAGCATTTTGGGAGGCTGAGGCAGGAAGACTGTTTGAGGCCAGGAGTTCAAGACTGCAGTGAGCTATGATCACACGACTGCACTCCAGCCTGGGAGACAGGACGAGACTCTATCTCAAAAAAAAAAAAAAAAAAAAAAAAAAGGAAGGGAGAGAAGGATGGGCAAGCCATTATGCCATTTCCCGACCTGAGAGTCTAGGTAAAGGAGGCAGCCACAGCTCAGCGGCAGCAGGAGCTGGAGCGCTAATGGGCACGTCAAGGGGCAAGAATGCGATGTGCAGCTGCCTGGAGGAGGGCACTGTGAAGGATCTCCACCTCCCCAACACCCGCCACTGCCCCAGGGAGGGACTCAGAATTATTTCGAGAGAAGGGAGCAACGTAGAAATCTGTGGGGCAGAGAGGGCTCCTCTGAAGGTGCAGGATCACATCCACACTTCGCGAGGTCCTGAAAGCAGAGGACAGCGGGGCACAGGGCTCACAGCGCACCCCTGGCTGCGCCAGCCCCACCTCACAGCCAGAACTGAGGCTCAGAGAGGCCCCCAGGCTCCTCATCTAGAGCCTTCCCCTCCAGCCCTCAGCATTTTCCTCTTCCAGACTCCGCCCTCCAAAAGCACCAAGCAAGGCGTGACTACCCCCAGGCTACATGCACCTCACCATTCCAGGTCCCGAGGACTTGGGGTACTCCCCAGACTCCCCAACCAGGCCAGAGACATCCTCTGAGAACACTCCCCGTGAGAACATTCCCCAGGAAGCTGATGAAAGTGGGCAGAGAAACAGGGACCTGGGAGTAGGTGGCCTGACCTGGGCACACCCGCACTGTCCCAGACTGAGTGCCAAACCCACACACAGGGTTCGCAGACATTCGTCCCTTTCACTCCCTTCTTCCCAGGCAGGCTGCAAACCTAAGGGAGCTCAGGCCTGGCCCTGCGTGCTCTTCCGCCTCTGTGACATTTCTCCCCCTGTAAAACAATGTCAGTAACCTCTGTCTGTACATCTCATGAGGCTGTTGTGGGCAACTTTTAGGATTTGAAGTAACTTGTAAAGCTGACATTTTGTAAGCACAGTATATACAGAGAAACACAGATTTCGACACTGCTACCGATAAACCCAAATTTATCAATGTACATAAACCCCTAGAGAACAAGCACCCACTGGCCTCCCCACTGGATCAAAAATCCTTTCATTGAGTTTCATGCCACTGAGGTGGAATTTCTCTAGAACACAGCTCCAGCTTAGAGCCCAAGCTTCTCACCCTATTCCTTGGATGGTCACCTACTGGTTTTGCCGGCCTCATGTCCTCTCCCTTTTCTTCCAATAACACCACTCCAAATTGTCCTTTGGGATCAGCTTTCACTTCTTGGTCCCTAGAGCTCCAGTGGGGTTGATCGTGCACACACATGAACACACACACACAGACGCAGCTGAGCCTCGCCCATCGAGAGGCTGCCCTGCGGGTCTCAGTGACCAGGACGGGTAATCCGTATTGTTAGATGCAGGCTGTCTGTACTGATAAATGCAGGCAATCCACACTGGTCCATCAGAGGGAATTAGGGAATTTCTGCTGGGACTGTTGGAAAACAGAAACTAACACTAAGGATGTGAATCTGGAGTTGCTGGAAGCTTCCCTGGCACTTTATGGGGAGAGTGAGGGCATCCTTGAGAAATATGGAGCCAAGAGGAAGAAACAAAATCCAGGCACCTTGAGCCGGGCCTACACAGACACTAGCCTGGACTTCTCCGTTACTCAAGCTAATTAATAACCCCCTGCTTTCTCCCCAATTTTTATTTGTTGTTGAAACAGCCTCAGTCTGTCACCCAGGCTGGAGTGCAGTGGCGCAATCATGGCTCACTGCAACCTTAAACACCTGGGCTCGAGCAATCCTCACACCTCAGTGTCTCGAGGAGCTGGTCTACAGGCTTGCGCCACCATGCCCAGCTGATTATTATTTTTTTTGAGATGTACTCACCCAGGCTAGAGTACAGTGCCATGATCTTGGCCCACTGCAACCTCCGCCTGCCGGATTCAAGTGATTCTCGTGCCTCCCAAGTAGCTGGGATTACAGGCACATGTCACCATGCCTGGCTAAATTTGGTGTTTTTAGTAGAGACAGGGTTTCGCCATGTTGTCCAGGCTGGTCTCGAACTCCTGACCTCAGGTGATCCACCCACTTCGGCCTCCCAAAGTGCTGGGATTACAGGTGTGAGCCACTGCACCTGGCCACACACACACACACACACACACACACACACACACCTAGAAATAAATACATATAAATTTTTTTCTTTTTTTTAAATAGAGACGAGGTCTTGCTATATCATCCAAACTGGTCTTGAACTCCTGGGCTCAAGTTATGCACCCACCTTGGTCCCCCAAAGCACTGAGATTATAGGTGTGAACCACCACGCCCCAGCCTGAATTCTTTGAAATTAAGCTGCACCATCTTGGAGTCATGTCACATTGCTATTTGAGGGTAAAAGGATCCAAAGGCATCTAGAAAGGTTGAAGCTAATGGGTTGCTGCTCGGTGAGGGAAGGAGGGACAGCCTGCTCTGGAGACCATGACTGTAACTGCACCTGCTCTGGAAGGGGATTTGGAGGCCACAGTCAGATATGGCTGCTAAGAAAGCCAAGGAGCTGGGGGAAAGGCAGGATAGTAGGGGGTAACAGAGCTTCCCAGACACACCGAGTGGGTGCAGGTGCACTGTATGTGGTCTCTGGTAGACTGACTACCTTGGTCCTTCGGGGCTGGGGAGTGGCTGGTCACCTCCAGCCTAGTGTCCTCTTCCCTTCCTGCAGTGAGGGAAGTGCTACCATTCTTTGCATGTGCTATGATATGGGAAAGCTGGCAAGCAATGTCCTAGAGTGCCACCCTTAGTCACTCACTTCGGGGGCAGAACAGCATCTGCTCAAGGGTTAAAGGCCAAAGACTGCAACCAACGGGACTGTGCCAGAGACAATCCCAAACCCATCAACCTTCCCTTCAGCTGTGGCCGGCAGCACAGCTGGACAGCAGAGCCCCAGGGGAGGCAGAAATTTTGTGGTTGAAGAATGTTCCCAAAATGTGGTCCTTGGGAAACACCAAAGCAGAAGGAAGGCCCAGTTATGAGAACTTAGGCGGGCCAGTGGATGACTGAACCCCCGCTCTGCCCCACCCTCCTCTGGGGTGACAACAGAAACATTCCATGGCCCCAGCAGACACTGGGGTAACACTCCACGGCTGACCCTGGGGTAACACTTGTGGCCCCGGCTGACGCTCAGGTAACACTCTATGGCCCCAGCTGACTCTAGGGTAACACTCCGCGGCCCTGACTGATGTGTGGGTAACACTCCACAGCCCTGGTTGACACTGGGGTAACACTCCACGTCCCTGGTTGATGCTGGGGGTAACACTCCACAGCCCTGGATGACGCTGGAGTAACACTCCACGTCCCTGGATGACGCTGGAGTAACACTCCACAGCCCTGGTTGATGCTGGGGGTAACACTCCACAGCCCTGGATGGCGCTGGGGTAACACTCCACAGCCCTGGATGGCGCTGGGGTAACACTCCACAGCCCTGGATGGCGCTGGGGTAACACTCCACAGCCCTGGATGGCGCTGGGGTAATGCCCTACAGCCCTGGATGGCGCTGGGGTAACACTCCACAGCCCTGGCTGACCCTGTTGGTTGCTCCCCAGTAGCCATGCCCAGTCTTCCTTCCTACCAAAGCCTCGATTCTGTTCCAGCGGCAACACGCCCAGCCTCAGGGGATGAGTCAAGATTGGCCAAAGCCTCCTATGGCGATCGCATTACCCTTGCCAGTGAAGGGGATGGCGACCCTGTGACCTAGCTCTGGCTAGTGGCTGTAAGTCTGCCGAAAGGTGGGAAAGTTTTCCCCTGAATTGAAATTAAAGAGACAACCTCTCAAGAAGACCGCTCTCTTCCCTGCCCCCTTCCCTTCTACCCAGGCTACTCTTGGGTGAAGACATAGGTTCACAGCTGCAGCAGCCACCTTGTGACCATGAGGAAAGGACAAGAGAACGGCAGAGACTGAGTGGTACTCAGGTGTGGCCAAGTCGCTGACAGACCCAGGATGCGCTGACCGTCTTCCAAGCTTCTCCTGTAGTGTGTGCTAAGAAAGGACACTCAGATATTCTGTTACTTCCCATCAAAAGCATATTTACCATCCTGTACTTTTCCTGTCTGTTATCATATTTGCATACATGGGAGCTGTGACCACACTATCAGAGGAGAGGCAGTGGAAGAGGTTGGATGACAGAGCTGGTAAATGGTGGGACCAGGCCTCAAACTCTCTTCTGCTGATAGGAAACCTCAGGCATGGTCTGCTCTGCTCTGCCTCTGGTATAAATTCATTCAGCTTACAGATTCCCCAACCTCAGGGGCCATGCCTCAAATTTTCAAAGCCGATGTGGAAAAGTCCAATCCAAAATGACAAAATATGTCTGTGAAAGGAACGCCCCAATCCTTGGCTCATTCTAAACATGCTACTATTATTATAAAGCTCTCCCAAACTGTTGCAAGGAAAAAAAAAAAAGGACAAGAAAAGAGTGGAGAGAGAAAGTGAACATGCCAAGAAGTCATTGAAAGGAAACTTTTTTTTGTTGTTTTGGGAGCCAGGAAATGTCAAGGAAACAAATGTAGCTATGATTTACACTGCATCTCCAGTTGTGCCATGGAATTCAAAAATAGGCATCTTAATTAAAACTGACAGCAGAGAGCAGCCCTGACAAGTAGACAAACCACCAAAGAGGCTGAAAAATCTCCATTTGACTCTGGGTTGACAGTATTTAACCAATATACAGAGTTGATAAGAGAAAAGGAAAATGCGTAAACTTTACTCGAGTCTCTGGGCTTTTCTTGTTTTCAAACTGATTGGTCTGGACAATGGAAGGCCAACAGCCAACAATAAATCCATTGTAAGCTGGCATGGTCTCCTCTGAATACAACTAAATATTTCTTTAATCCTTGCATTACATTTTTTACTGTATTATGAAAGCCATGTATTCTAAAGTTTTAAGCTTTTATAACATTGTAACTATAGGTATAAGATGGGGGGATTGATTACTTAGGCAACCTATTTAAAGCACTTTAAGAGGAAAATATTAGATTTTTTTGCATGAATATTTTCACATCATAGTGAAGATACGATCGTTCATGGCTCTTACTCAGAAATCTTGTTTATCTCTTCCTTTGTGTGCCATGGGAAGGGTCTTTAATGATCATGAGTTGACATGAATATTCCTTTCTTGTAGCTTCTGTATCTTCATTATCGGGCACATCAGCCGGTCCCAGAAAAAGTTATTTCACAGTTCTGTTCCCAAGGGAACAAAGAGAGTGGGTCCCATATTCACAGTGGCTTTTGTTGGCTTCTTTCCCCCTGACATTAAAGCCATGTATGGTTGGCAAGGATGTCTTTTCTTTAATGTGGACATGGTTTCTGCCTCTGGTTCTCTGGAAACAAGTTTGCTGTAGGACAAGCTGCCCGCACACTCACATACACGGAAAAGAGGCTTCACTGAGAACAAATCAGAACTGAAAAACAGCTTCAAGTACAAATGTTCTTTTCTTCCGAGATTTTGAGTTCAATATTTATTTGGCTTTCATATCTAATGGCTTGAAAAAGTATCTATACATCTAATTAGAGTTAATTACTCACTCCCTGTATGTGCCTCCCACAGTGCTCTCCTCCCAGCCAAGGAACTCATTGTTACCGGCCAGGCTGTGTACATTTCCCATCCAGTGACATTTACAAGAAGAATAGCTCCTAGCAGAAACAGGCTGGTACCCTAAGAGAGAGAAGCTGTCTCACAGGGGCCACCCAAACAACCAGAAGTTCAGCCCCAACTGCATTCATACTGCACCATCTCTGACTCTCCACTGGCGGGAAAACCCAGCCAGCTTACACTCCACGCACAGCATGCGCCTCAGATACCCAGCTGGGATTAGCGAGCAGGACCACGTGTGAATGGCACGGCAAATTCTCCAGAATACAGGGTTCCCTGGATTCTAAATTTTTCTCTTGCCTTTCTAATCAAGAACAGAGAGAGAGAGAGAACACACACCCTGTCCAATAACTCATTGTTCAAGCACTGTAGTTCACCCAGGTAAAATTCAGTGCAGCCGGGAGGGGGGAAGCCTGGGAGAGCAACTGCAGTCTCTCCCGCTGAAGTTCAGGACTCAAAAATCAACACTTCCCAGCAGTGGCTGCCTGCCCAGGATGCCCCTCCCTCCTAAAATAGACACAATTTGTAGTTCCTTGTAAAATGGTTGTATCAGGACTTCTGATTTACTCAATCAGGGCTTGCGGTTTATTTTTAGCAAATAAGAGAGGCCTCCTATGAGAAAGAGCAGCCACACTTATAGCGCTAACAGGTAGAAACTTTACTGGCCCTCTATAAATCAATTCAACACCCTGGTCTCCAGGCATTTGCCAAAAGCTAATGGGCGGCAATTATGAAACCATCGCCAGGAGTTTCCAGCAGGGCTGAGAGAGAGTTTTAAGTCTGCAGGCCCTTTCAAGGGTAAAATAGGAAATCATTTCATGAAGCAGCAATTTTACCCAGAACCCAGCTAGAAGAGATGTGATCCTAGCTTAAATTAAAGTGACTAAGAAACAGGTGGGGTGAACAAGGAGGTGTGGTACGCAAGTCATCTTCTCCCACTTTCCTTTGGAATCCAAAGGAACTCAACATTGGAAACACAGCTGGATACGTTAATAAAGATCCCAGCTGGGCAGTCTAGGGAATTGGGGGTGTACAGGCCAGTGCTCCCTCTCCTCCACCTTGAAACCCTGCCTGTTTTCACACAGCAATTGAGGATGCGCCCTTGGACAGCGACCTTGGGGTCTGGAGCAGCCATCTATCCCAGGAGAAGGAGGAAGGCTCGGCAGGGGAGGCTCTGGCCAGCCCACCAGGGCCTGTCCAGTTTCGTGGGGAGGGGAACTGCCGCACATGCCGCACACAAAAGGCGGAGGCTTTGACCAACATGCTGGGTGAGGGCTTGGAGGACCCAAAGGTGGCTCTTTCTTTGAAGACACACAGCAGCAATCTTAACCCTTAGAAGTGTCACAGAGCCTCATATGAGCTTTCAAGTAAGCTGTGGAAGTCGCGATTCCCAGGTAAGGGACGGGAAACTCCGGATGTCCTGCGAGCCCACACCCCAGATGGCACCGCCTGAAACCAGAATCCAGGTCCTCCACCCCCGATTGTTTCTCCTTCCTCTCATCTTACCAAGTCATGTGGGCGCCCCCACCCCCATCCCCGAGGCCTCAGTGCGACGGTGACCGCTCAGTCTTGGGGCCTGAGCTGCTGGAGACACACTGGAGCACAGCGGGGCCCAGCCCTCGGGCCTGTCTGAGGCTTTCCTCCGCCGTGACCACCGCCTCTCCAGGTGTACCAGCGTTGGTTAGGAACAGTAGGTGCTACTGGTCACAGTCACCAGATACTTCCCACGAGCCTCATCTTTATCCCCGACTCTGGCCGCCGGCGGGAAGCGGCGTGTCCGAGCGCACACCCCGTGGAGACTGACCCTAGGTCTGTTACTCCAAAGTCCCTGGTCTCTCCTTCCCCTTTCTCGCGGCCGCCTGCCTGGCACGGGACCCTGAGGCCGGAGCGGAGACCGCAAAACCCCTTGGGGCCGGCACCCCCTGCCTCCGCCTTGGCGCAGACGTGCCCATCTCTGGGACGGCCCCGAGCGCACGCAGCCGGCGGGCGACCCTCCTCCCAGAGACCTGCACGCTGCCCCCGGCTCCCAGCGTACCGCCACCCTCAACCCGACACACCCAAGTCCGCCCCAGCCACGCGCCAAGACGCTCACCTCCCGCAGCAGGCGCTCCAGGTGCGGCTCGGCCCAGGCGTCCAGGGCGCCTGGCGGCCCCGCGCGCCGCAGCAGCTCCCGCTCCTCCTCGAGCGCCGCCACCCGGCCCTGCAGCGCGGCCGCCTGGACACCCAGCAGCAGGCAGGCAGCCGCCGAGCCCACGGAGAGCAGCAGGCACAGCGCGCTCACCGCCCGGGACCCGGCCGTCGTCGCCGAGCGCCCTCCGCCGCCGCCGCCCGCCGCATTGCCCTTCCCCGCGTCGCCGCCGCCACCGGCGCGCTCGCCTGGGCCCATGGCGCGTTCGTCGCGCGTGGACTCTCCGAGGGGGCGGTGCTGCTGGGGCAGAGGCTGGGTGCGAGAGGAGCAGGCGGGACAGCCCGAGGCACGAGGTCCGCCGGGCGCGGGGGTTAGCCTCCGGGTAGCAGCGGATCGCCGCGCACGCCCCCTTCGCCGCAGCCAGCTCCTCCACAGCGGCCACTTTGGGCAGTTTCCTCTATGCAAATAGACCCTGCCAGAAAAGGAGCAGGGACCCACCCAGGGGAGGAGCGGCCGGGCTGGCCCCGCGCGGCGAGGGGGCGGGGGCGAGGAAGGAGCGAGCTCCTCGGAGCCACCCGTCGGCGCCGGGCTGATCCCACGCGCAGCGCGCACCTCTGCCCTCACCTAGCCCGGGCGCCGGCACCCGCCCCCGCACGCACCTCTGAGGCTTCCCCAGCCCAAGCCCGCACTGTGGACCCCAGAGGTCGGAGGGGAGCCCGGCGACACCGCGCCCCTTCTGCAGCCCACCCCTGGCTGGAGCACCCACCACTCGTGCCTTAGCACATTCCTCTAAACTTGTGAATTACCTTTCTGACACTTGTAAAAGTTCAAAACTTCAAATCCTGCAAAAAACTGAGTGGGTCTGTCCTCGGTGGTGGATTAGCGCCGCTTCGTGGCGGAAAGCGACCTCTGCGCACTCACATTTAGAGAGGCAGGGTCGAGATTGCGCCAAACAGAAATACGCCCCTTAGAATCTTCTCACGAGTTCTTAGCTGCCGGACTTCGGTGCGGGAAACAAAAATGGTAAGACTGTTTCTGGCCTGGAGAGGGCTTTTGAGAAAACTGAGACTATAACGAATGGGAAAGATTCAGAAAATGAACTTCAAGTCTTGTTCAACTGATGACTTAATTCTGTATTAGACGCACAACTTGGCCAAAAATTATGATCTAGTATGCACCACACTTAACCTGTACTGCGATTCTGCTGCAAATTTAAATCACAGGGCTGAGGCAAGAAGGCTGTGGCGTACAGCCTGGGTCCAGAGAACAGAATGAGTGGCACTAACAAGTCTTGGCAGGAAAGGGAAGAACTGCTGGAAGTCAGGCTGGGTTCAGATTCCTACCAGGCATATTCATGTCCTAAATGGGTCCCAAGTAACTCTTTCGCTAACTCCTGTAATACCTAAATGAAACAACAAACCAGCAGTTCAGATCTTTGTGATTTGAGTAACCCCCCAACCATTTTTTTTTAAGAAAAATAACGTTATATCCATCTTCCCTCTCACTCTGGATATCTTCTGGTTGTCTCATTTCTGTGGATACTCACCTTTTAGAACTGTTGAGTGCCTCTGGCTAACATGTTCCATCTCCTTCCCTTAATTCAGAGGGGAACCCCTGAGATGGCCGGGGGTTATGGTTGATAGACTTGGCTCTGTGCTAAAGTCTGGTGTATGCCCAATAGAATGAAAAGTTGGCCTCATTCTGAAAAGAGGCCAACACCCTCTTACAAGTCAGCACTACATTTCTTACAGGCACATAAACTGCACACCACCTACCTATGTTAATGTTACTGCATGTATTGTTTGCCATGTTCCTGAAGCTTCTGTGTATTGAAAAAGCCAAGCTCACTGGCCCCTGGGCCTCTGCCCTTGCCTACCACCTCACTACCTGCATTCCTGCTCTCAGATCGTTAAACGGCAAGCCCCTCCTCATCCTCCAGGTCAAGGTCCTCAACCTCACTGCTTCTAAAAGATCTTCCCAGACTGCCCAATTTAAGGTGGCCCACAAGATTAATCAGGGAATTGGGGCGGCTGAATTAAGATGGAAATACTGTCTGCAACTCATTCTAAAAGGCGAAAAAGAAAATGACTTACTTGTGTCCATTAGGGTCCTGGAAGAATAGATGGCATCCTCAGAGAGGGTGACTCAAGACAGCCTGAATGTAGAGCCACTTCACAAAGTGGAGATCAGAGGGGCCAGCAGGGGAGGCCGAAGCAGCACTCTGCGGGTATTGACAGTGGGAGGCCATTACCATCCCTAACTGGGAACCCTGGGGAACTTGGAGCTATAGAAGAGGGCTGCTCCACAGCACCTGTGGCCCTTGGTTAAGGGGAACAGCCTCTGCAAAGCCATGGCTTGAAAGGGAGGGAGCTCACAGAATAAATACTCAACTGCTCTCTCCTGCTCTCTGATCTACTGGGGCCTTCCAATGACCAAACCTCCAGGGCAGGGGCCAGCCTCCTAGAGGGCAGAGAGCAGAGGCAGAAGGAAGAAGGGCAGATCTTGAGGGGGAATAAAAGAATATCCACTAACCTATCGTGTGTAGCATCACCTAACAGGTAGACAGCACTTACACCAATCCCGCTACTGCTGCCTATGAATGGCTAACCTGTCAGCAATAGACTAAACAAGGTACTCCTCAGGCAGACTAACTGGCCACGTGGTGGCAAAACAGCTACTTTGGATTCCCTCCTTCCTGCAAGGACCAATGGTTTGCCCCTCACAGGGACAGCACCAGGTGTGGGCTTGTCTTTCCTGCCTGCAGAGCCTCAGCCAGCATTGCTATCCTTACAGAATGCCCAACCCACAGGTACAGGATCTCACACACCACCACACCCAACCAGGGCACCCATTTTACAGTAAAGGTCTGGGGCTGAACCCATGGACCAAGGAATCCACTGGTTGTGTTGCATCCTGCACTGGTCAGGAGCAACCAGCCTCACAGAATACTGGAACTGCCTTCTGAAGGCACAGATGAAGCACCAGCTCAGGGGCCACTCCCTGAAGGATTTAGTGCCATCTCTCAGGATGTAGTGTGTGTGTTAAATCAGGAACCTCTATATGATGCTGTGCTCCCAGTAAGAATACGTGAGTCCATGAACCCACAGGTAGAAGCACTAGCCATCCCTCCCCATGACCCCATGGGGGATGTTATGCTTCCTGTTAGAGAGTTGGAGGTCCTAGTTCTCAAAGGGGTTACATTCTTGCCAGGGGACACAGTAGGGGTTCCATTAAACTATAAGCTATTGCTGCCACCCAGGGCACTTTGAACTCTGTATATAGGGACCTGAAATCAAGACAGCACCATTTGGCAGAGGCAATTGACCCTAATGAGGAGGAAGAGGTAGGGCTGCTTTCATACAGGGTGCAGGAAAGAATAGGCCAGGCACCTCATGGTACGCCTTTGCCCAATTGCAACTGGAACAAAAATGTGTAGCAACCCTGACCTGATGATCTACAAACGCTCAGACTCTTGGAGATAAAGGGAGCATATCAAACTATTTTATAAAATAGGGATTATTTGGGTCAGATAGGATGGACAACCACTGAAGAAGGAATGTTAATAATGAAAAGGTTCAAATATGTTCAAACTGCTGTTCAAGAAGGCATGGATATGTAATCCAGTTTATAAAAATTTTCAGCAGAAAATTGTTTAAATTAAGCCACAAGGTTTAAAGGGATAGCAAAGGGTGTTGTGTTTTTTTTATATAAGGTAATGTTATTTAAAAAAATTTTTTTAAGAAGGCAATGTTAAAAAAGGCACCAGGTTTTGATTCAATGCCCAGATTCTAGTTCTGGCTTCACTAATATCTCACAGTATAAACTGAAACAAGCTATAGACCCTCACTTTTTATTTATTTATTTATTTATTATTATTATTTTTTTTAGAGGTGGGGGTCTCGCTATATTGCCCAGGCTGCTCTTGAACTCCTGGGGTCGAGCAATCCTTCTGCCTCGGCCTCCCAAATGCTGGGATTACAGGGGTGAGCCACCATGCCTGGCCACCTTTTTGTTTTTAAAACAGAGATGTTGACATGGACCAGATTTACTATCTGACTATTTAAAACAACTAAAAAGCCAAAAAAAAAAAAACTGTATAAAAACAGCAGTTTTCGAGACACCAGACATCAGGCATTAAAGGCCAGTGATCCTTTGGAGACAGGAAACAAAGTGAACCCAAGGACTGCCCTGGGTTCCTACTCTGGAGAGATTTTCCAGGACACAGTGCAGGTAGAGCCAGCTGAAGGTGAAGAGAGAAAGCTGAGTCCAGGGAGGCCAAAGCAGTTAGAATTTACAGAGGAGAGGACAGGAGAGGGAAGAGCTGCACAGAGAATTAGAGATCTGCAGCTGGTCCCCCTGAAGCCTTCACCTGAGGACTCACCAGCATCCATGT
The DNA here is from genome assembly GCF_000001405.40 of Homo sapiens. NCBI lineage: Eukaryota > Metazoa > Chordata > Mammalia > Primates > Hominidae > Homo > Homo sapiens. Next base: position 178,594,333 of record NC_000005.10, read on the forward strand.
GTGGGGAAACTACCAGAGGCCAGGACGGAATAACCCAAAAGGATTAGACTCTACAAACCCCACAGCTCACACAAAGCCAGGCATAGTTCTTCCTACCAACCAGTGTGGAAAATCTGGTAACTCAGAGAACGCTGGGTAGAGTACTCAAAAGGTTTTTGCCTCGGTAGTGGGGAAAATACTAGCCCTAGACTAATTGCTGCCCTGGTCCTGTCTAACAAAGCTTAAAACCCAAACCTGAAGAGATCAAACTAATTCAAATACTTAATCATGTCCCACAATAAAGCACACAGAATTTTACCCAATAAGGTAAAACAAAAGGTAAAATTACCAGGCATGCAAAGCAGCAAGAAAATATGACCCATAATAGAAGAAAATGCAATCAATCAAAACCAACCCAGAAATAACAGAGATAACAGAATTAGTAGTAAGCAAAGCTATTAAAAGCTGTAACTGTATTCCATATGTTCAAGGAACTAAAGGGAAGATTTAACATGTTAAGTAGAGGTATGAAAGATATCTTTTAAAAAGACTTAAAATTCTAGAAATTAAAACGATAATGTTTGAGGTGAAAAATACATTGGATCACATTAAAGGCAAATTAGACACTTGGGGCAAAAGATCAATGAACTTAAAAATATATCAATATAAGCAAAATGAAACAGTGAGAAAAAGACAAAAAAATGAAGAGCGTCAGTGATCTGTGCAATCACTTCAAGTGGCTTAATGTATGTATAACTGGAGTCCCTGGGGAAGAGGGCAGAAAAAAATGTTTGAATAATGGCTGAAAAACTTTTCCAAATTTGATAAGAACTATAAACCCACACACATATCCAATAATTTCAAGAAACCCATGCACAAGAAACATGAAGACAACTGCACAAGCCACATTATAATCAAAATGCTTGAAATGAGCAAAAGAAAACAATGTAACCAGAAAAAGAGACACAAATACAGTAACAAGGATAACAGCAGATTTCTTTGTTGGAAACAATGCAACCCAGAAGATAGGTAAGCAACATCTTTTGTCAACCTAGAATTTTATACCCAGCAAAATTACCTTTCAAAAAACAAAGGCTAAAGAGAGACTTCTAGACATACAAAAGCTGAAAAAATTCATCCACCATCAGACCCACAATTTTAAAAATGTTAATGGAAGTAATTCAGGCAGAAGGAAAACCATGCCAGATGGAAATATGAACTTACACAAGGACTGAAGAGCATAGAAAATACTAACTCTGTGGGTAAATATAGGCTTCTTTTCTTATTATTTAAATCTCTTTTAAAGATAATCAATGGTTTAAAGCTATATATATACACACACACATATACACATGCATATATACATATATACGTATGTATACACATATACGTATATAGATATGTATGTATATATAGTGGGTTTTTAACATGGACGGTTTTTAACAAGGATGTATACTATAAACTCTAACGCAACTGCTAAACACACACAATAGTTATAGCTAATAAGCCAGCAAAGGAGATAAAGTGGAGTTACAGAAAAATAATCCAAAATAAGGCAGAGAAAGAGGAAAATAGTAATAAAGAACAAATGGAACAGAAAATATCAAGATGGCAGATCTAAACCAAACCACATCAACAACTACACTAAATGTAAGTGGTCCAAACATAACTAAAAGGCAAAGATTGTTAGATAGGATAAAAAAGCAATATCCAACTGTATACTGCCTATAAGAAACATTTTAAAGACACAAAAAATTAAAAGTACACACATAGAAAAAGGTATTGTGCTAACATTAAAATCGAGATAATCTCTATTTGCACTCACTCATTTATATAATTCCTATAGGGTGAAAAGCAAAATAACAGGAAAATTATTTGTAGGCTATAGAATACTGTATAAACCTAGGGGGAATAGATCAAGAAACGGTGAAAATAATAGCTTCTATTCACTAGCACTTTATGTAAATGATTTCAATTAATCCTCACAACCCTCAGGAAGTTGTTAGTACACCACTTCAAAGAAGAGGAGACTAGAGAGATTATGTAACTTGTCCACATAATACAGGTGACAACAGAGTCTGAATCCAACGAACTCTGCTGGTAAGCAGACCATATTGTTCTCATGTAGTTGTTGTGAGGACACTCTAAATATTTAAATGTTTCTAGAGTAATCTGAAAAGTATAAATAGTGAGGTCTTTTAAAAGTAAACTTCCCTATCAACGAGATACTCTAAATATCATAAAGGCTTGCTTTGGTCATTCTCAAAACCGTACTTCCTCATGTTGTCTTTAGCTAGGGGTAAACCAAGAAGCTTTTGAAGACACTTGATTTTTTCTGCTTTAAAAACTGTTTATAATGGAAAAATTTTTAAGTCACCTGAGTGGCTGGGGCAGGGGGATCTTCCAAAAATCTATTAAACTTTACTTCATTTTGTTACACTGACTGCTGGCCTATGACATTCCAGCCTCAAAGGGTATTTAATTCAGGTGTTCTTTATTAAATCTATGCCTCAGTCTTTTTTTTTTTTTTTTTGAGATGGAGTTTTGCTCTTGTTGCCCAGGCTGGGGTGCAATGGTGCAATCTCGGCTCATTGCAACCTCCACCTCCGAAGTTCAAGCGATTCTCCTGCCTCAGTCTCCCGAGTAGCTGGGATTACAAGCACCCACCACCACACCCAGCTAATTTTTGTATTTTTAGTAGAGACGGGGTTTTGCCATGTTGGCTAGGCTGGTCTCAAACTCTTGACCTCAAGTGATCCACCCGCCTTGGCCTCCCAAAGTGCTGGGATTACAGGCGTGAGCCACTGTGCCTAGCCTCCTCAGTCTTTTAATTAGATATGATTTCTCCCCAGAATTGTAACTGTTAAAACCAAAAAAGGAGTGAATGTTAAAAAAAAAAAAAAATCTGAATAGTGAACATACTTGATTGTTAAATACAAATTTCTTTGAAAGTTCTACTCCTTCCAATTTCAGTGAAATGCTGCAATAAAAACTGGGTTGTTAATGGATCAAAAACAGAATTCTTGACAGTAATTTCTGGTGCCATCAAGAACAATTAACATTACTTGAAAAACAAGAAGTTGGCCAGGCGCAGTGGCTCACGCCTGTAATCCCAGCACTTTGGGAGGCCAAAGCAGGTAAGATCGCCTGAGGTCCGGAGTTCGAGACTAGACTGGCCAACATGTTGAAACCCCTACTAAAAATACAGAAATCAGCTGGACGTAGTGGCACACACCTGTAATCCCAGCAACTCGGGAAGCTGAGGCAAGAGAATCGCTTGAACCCGGCAGGCGGAGGTTGCAGTGAGCCGAGATCGCACCATTGCACTCCAGCCTGGGCAACAAGAGCAAAACTCTGTCTCAAGAAAAAACAAACAAACAAACAAACAAATTGGGTTTAAAACATTTATAGAAAAAATAACTGCTATTTCCTAGTGGAACTACCAAATGCCAGGTAATCTGCTAGATGATTTTAATCACGCTGTAACATGGATATTACTTCTAAGTAACCCCAAGTAACAAAGTAAAATTACTTTACTTGGTTGAGTGTCAGAGAGGATCTGGGACTAAGGTTCTAACCATGGTGCAAAAAATCCAAGTCCTTTCAATACACTAAGCTGCTACCTCAAGGAAGTAGATGATAAATAAGAAATGAAAGGCAGAAAGAGCTAAAACCTTTATATTACAGCTTCAACCTAGAGGCTTAATCCCAGGTACAACTTTTTAAGAAAATGATACGTCACAGGTGCTGCGTACTTCTCATTTCATCACCTCAAGAAGTACACCATCAGGTTATCAATCTTAGGCTGTGACTGATCACTGAGTTCAGGCATTGCCAGCCCAATCCTCCTGATAAAGTCCCCTGATAAGGTTTGGCTCCCGGTCCCCACCCAAATCTCATCTCGAAATATACTTCCATGTGTCAAGGGAGAGAGGTGATTGGATCATGGGGGTAGTTTCCCCCACGCTGTTCTCATGATAGTGAGTTTTCACAAGACGTGATGGTTTTACAAGGGGCTCCTTCCCCTTCACTTCTCTTTCTCCTGCCGCCATGTAAGATGTGCCTGCTTCCCCTTCTGCCATGATTGTTAAGTTTCCTGAGGCCTCCCCAGTCATGCAAAACTGTGAGTCAATTAAACCTCCTTCCTTTATAAATTACGAGGTCTCGAGTAGTATCTTTATAGCAGTGTAAAAATGGACTAATACATCCTCCAATTTTCACCCAATGATTCCGCATCTGATGATGATTAGGTGCCTGGATCCATTATTTTATTAAAAGTTGCAATATTGTCTAACATCCCTACTGTATTTATTAGAATAAATTCCACTTAAAAATATCATTTTATAGTCAATTTGTCTGAATCGGGACCAGAGCCCACACATGCTACTATGTCTCAGGGCTCTTAATCATTGTATGTATATTCTCCACTTCCAACCTCATTCTACTTTTTTGGTAATAAAACTGGGTCATTTGTCTTAAAGCATTTCCCATATTCAACATTTCATCATAGTGACATTCATTCTTCTAGTCCCCTATCTTGACTGGATCCTGATTCAAACCAATCAACTATAAATGGCATTTTCTTCAGACATTCATGAAACTTTAAATATGGACTGAATATCAGACAAATAATTATTTTGTTAGATATGATAGTGACATTATGAGAAAAAACTTATCTGTTAAAAATATTTTAGGAATGAAATACCATATTATGATACCATATTGTTACTATTTCATAATTAAAATAAAAATAATTTATCAAATTATTTTAATTAAAATGATTAAAACTCATAATAAAAAAATGAGTGACATAATATGGTATCTGGCATTTGTATTTAAATACAACAGGGAAATTAAGTTGGGGGAAAGGAACAAAATTTGCAAAATGTTTTTAATTTTTGAAGCTGGGCTTTATGTATATAGAAATTCATTATTCTGTTTGACTTTTGCATTCTATTTTTTAAAAATTAATCCCTAATATAGAACTGGCCAACTCTCTCAAATGACTTAAACAGAGTATATTCATATTAGGGGAATTTACTCTTTTAACTATATTCCAAAAGGCTGGATTGACAATTATAAAACTAACCTGACTTTTGAACGTTACATTCCCTTTACTTGAAAAACGTAACAGGCCATGCACAGTGGCTCATGCCTGTAATCCCAGCAACTTTGGGAGGCTAAGGTGAAAGGATTACTTGGGCCCAGGAGTCTGAAGCTGCAGTGAGCTATGATCGCACCAATGCAATCCAGCCTGGGTGACAAACCAAGACCCCATCTCTATAAAGAAACAAAATGAACTCCAACAAAACCAATCAACCAACCACATTCAAAAAACTATATTAAGACCTTTTAGGGATTTGGGTGGAGAGATCAAATTCTTAAAAACAGTGATCAAATGATTAAAAAAAAAAAACCTTTAAGAATTAGAATTGTTTGCAAATATGAACTCTACTAAGACTACAACTGTCGGCTATTATTGATAATGAATTCTTCTGACTACAATATTTGAAAATGTAGCTTTTGTTAATCAAGTACTAGATGTGTAAAGTATTTCACTTGCACCAAATTTTGTGGGAATCAGGATTTTGAAACTGGAAGACAGTTAAAAACCCACGTCTCCTACTTCCAAAGTGTTTCTTCATTCCAGGATGTCAAAGTTAAGACTTAAATATTGGTATCTGCCTATCATTTAAAATAGAAGTTTTCAAATGGCCATGCAATGTTTAACTGAGTAAAGAAAATTTTGAATAAATGAAATACAAGTAATAAAAACCTGGGGGTTTTGGGGTTTTTTTGTTGTTGTTGTTGTTTTTGAGATGGAGTCTCACTCTGTCACCCAGGCTGCAGGGCAGTGGCGCGATCTCGGCTCCCTGCAACCTCAGCCTCCTGGGTTCAAGAGATTCTCCTGCCTCAGCCTCCCGAGTAGCTGGGACTACAGGCGCATACCACCACGCCCAACTAATGTTTTATATTTTTAGTAGACAAGGTTTCACTGTGTTAGCCAGGATGGTCTTGATCTCCTGACCTCGTGATCCGCCCGCCTCAGCCTCCCAAAGTGCTGGGATTACAGGTGTGAGCCACCGCACCCACCAAAAACCTGGGTTTTATTATTCCATTTCACTCGGAGTCATTTCAGAGTAGAGCTGTGAATAAGAAGTCAAACTGATCATTCTGACTCAATGTATTATTACAGGAAAGCACAATGGTAGAATCTGGCAAACCTGAATTTAAGTCACAATTACTGGGAGATTTGGCCAAGTCACTTCCAATTTCTCTAGTATACAGCCCTTCTAGAGTACTCAGAGGAGTAGTTTTCAATTTTATGAAGTATAAAATTGTTAGTAGTTTGTCCCCTTGCTGTCAGCAGGAGTCAATTGAATTCAACTACTCTGAAAATTTTCATGAATGCATGGATGAAAAAAAACCTCAAGAAAATGAGCAGCAGCAGCAAGCTGGAAATAATCTACTTAGCTGCACTTTACAAATGCCTCCTAAAAAAATCAAGCTTGACTTCAATGGAATTTCTAGAAACAATTCAATGGAATTTCTAGAAATAGTAATTCTATGAGGTATCAAATTATTAAGAAAAATACCTAAATTACAAAGGATTCATGTGCATTGGCCATTCTAAATCTTTTTCCCTTTTAGTGTTGAAGCTCAAGGCACTGTCAAAAAAAAAAAAAAAACAAAAAACCTTGGAACTTGACAAAATGAGTTCAGAAATACAAGGAAAAAAGGCAATTAAGAGTAGGAACTTGAAAGCTCAAAGAAGAGGGGAAGGAAGGTTGACAAAAGACACTCAATGATCCCAGAGGTACTGCCCTAACCTCTAAGCATTGCATCTATCCTAATTTTTTAAAGTTTCGTTTTAATTCCCGAAATTCCATGAATTAGGCCTAGAAATTAGCAAATACCCTTTGTGAAGAACGTAAATTTTCAGAAGAGACAGGGGGTTAGCAATCAATAACTTCTTAGTAAGAAATAATGTGAATATTTTTCTTTCCTCCTATATCCTGAGATCAGCTACTCTGAGTTTTTCATAGAAAGTAAACACTAATTTGGGAACTTGAAGCACTTATTGGGGGAAAGGACAGGAGGCTTGGGTAGTACAATGGCAGTGGAAAAATAAAATGAAGGGGAAAATAAAGGATAGCAAACACCTTAATCTGTAGGGCTACACTGGTAAACTCAGGAAAAACCTTGTTTTTAAACATCAAATGCTTCTTTAAAAAAATTATCACATACAGTTCAACTATTCTGAAATAAAGTCACTGTATTTGGACTATATCAGAGGCCTAAACATAATGTATGCAGTCATTCTACAATAAACTTTTTGTTTCAGCTTTCTTAAACTCCTAGTCTACTTTAGGAACACAGCCTTACTGTATTGACAAATGTTGCCCCTAAGTAACATAGAAAACCAAGCTTGGTTTCATTATTTGTCCTACAAGAAAATCCCATGCATTTTATGTTTAAAATACATAAACAGATTAGCCAGGCATAGTGGCTCATGCCTTTAATCCCAGCACTTTGGGAGGCCGAGGCAGGAAGATCACTTGAGGTCAGGAGTTTGAGACCAGCCTCGACAACATGGTGAAACCCTGCCTCTGCTAAAAATACAAAAATTAGCAGGACCTGGTGGCACATGCCTGTAATCCCAGCCACTCGGGAAACTGAGTCAAGAGAATCGCTTGAACCCAGGAGGAAGAAGGTTGCTGTGAGCCGAGATCACGCCACTGCACTCCAACTTGGGCAACAGAGCAAGACTCAGTCTAAAAAAAAAACAAAACCTAAACAGATAAAACTCCAATATTTGTGTAATGCACTTATGAAACAGGGATACTTTTAACAAAAATTCACCTGTATCTGGAAATAAGCACTTAGGAATTCTACAACAAAAAATATTCCTACCTGGCTGACTGAACCATAGCAACAGACATTTTTTTCTTTTGCCCAATTAAGTAATTTACCACATACCGGGTTTTTGTTTTGTTTTGTTTTTTCTTTTTTTGAGACGGAGTCTCGCTCTGTCGCCCAGGCTGGAGTGCAGTGGCACAATCTCAGCTCACTGCAAACTCCGCCTCCTGGATTCAAGCAATTCTCATGCCTCAGCCTCCAGAGTAGCTGGGATTACAGGCGCCCGCCACCACACCCAGCACTTTTTTGGTATCTTTAGTAGAGACAGGGTTTCACCATGTTGGCAAGGCTGGTCTCAAACTCCTGGCCTCAGGTGATCCGCCTGCCTCGGTCTCCCAAAATGCTGGGATTACAGGCGTGAGCCACTGTGCCTGGCTCCATATAGTTTTTATGTGAAAACAAGGACAGTAAAAGAACAACAACAACAAACGCTGAAGTCAAAAAGTTTATGTAACCAATCAATTAAATTCTGGAAATTTCAGCAGCACTTTCTTCCCAAACTGCTTTCCAATCAAATCCTCTTTCTCCCGTAAGAATTATCACAGACATAAATTGCCTAATTAATAAACTTAATTCTTATAGGTTTACGTATTTATGTCATTTGATAAACAGATGCTGGCCAATGTTAAGACTCCTAAGGACTTGGTATTAAAAACTGAAACCTCTCATCAGAATTTCTATTTTTATATCTGTGACTCACCAAACATACTTGGAAATGTCCATTTTCCAAGCTGACTTTCCAGTTAGATTTTAATCTTAAATAAAGTGTGTATGTGGTTTTATTAAACAAACTGTCACAATGGACAAACTGCATGCCTTTCCATGAATGTCTGGTTATCACCCTGACATCACCCAATGAAAAAGAATACAACACTTAAAATTTAATAGAATTCTAACAGTAAACATTTTCTGAGTTTTGGTTTCTAGTACCTGCTTATCTAGAGTTAATAATAATCACCCGTTCAACAATTACAGAAGAAAAACTTTTAAAGTTAAGTTCTAAATTTGAAGTATATAAAGAATATTCCTTTAAGAATATAAAGTAGTCAAGATTTCCTTTTACTCAAAAAAAATCACTTCAGAGGTGACCTCCATGTACAAAAGGCAAGATCAATCACATTTATCACTGGACACAAAGGATATTTCAAAGGTATTTAAAAATGGTAATTTCAAAAAGAAAAATTAATTTTAATTTTTCTAATGCATTATCAAGACCATACTTGCTTAACAAGTTAATTATGCTATTGATACAAAACATACAATATTTACACTTAACTGTACAAAATAATTTAATGTTTACAAAAATATTAGAATGTTTAGTTGACTGACACAGTCTTAAGTAATCTCTTCTAGAGAAGTATATAGTAAGACCACTGATTCCCATTTCATTTCTTTTTTAATAAGTCAAAGAAAGGATGCTGCAATGCTTCATCCAAGGTAATTCTTTGAGTTGGATCATATTCTAACATTCTTCGAACCAGGTCAAACAGTTTCTCATGTTCTTCATCATGACAAAGCATAAATTCCTGGGGGAGAAATGTTTTTGTTTTAAAAAAAATTATTAATAGTGCAAACACGTGGTTTATTTAACCTTTAATCTTTTTTCTTTTACCTTCAACGGTTTGCAGCGTCTCCTAACATATCTACCAGCAGAACTGTGTTCATCCCAATCTAGCTGGTTATGGTGAAAATACTTGCGTTTTCTACAGAAAAAAAAAAAAAGTCTGGATTAGTAAAATAACAAGAGTCGTATCTTTACCCTGCACCCATGAGGGGAGACATGGAAAGCAGCTCTCTCTAAGTGTATAGACTTATATAATATAGATGCATACAATTTTTAAAAACCTCAGCAACAATTATATATCGGACACCTCATATCCTCCACCCTGTGAGGTTTTAGTCTCTCAACTAAGTTGTTCCTATCACATATGGAACAATGTCAGCTTAAAACTAGGGGCCCCCTGGATCCAGTCCTAAAATTCTGTTTTCACTAGATCTAGAATGGGGCTGGAAATCTTTAAAGAACTCCCTCGGTGGCTTCTGCGATGAAGCTGTGTTTGGAAATACCACCTTGTCTAAGAATATACAGCTGGTTAAGGACAGAATAAATTTCACACTTAGAGTGATATGATTCCAAAACACAAGCTTTTCCATATTCTATGTATTATTTTTACATCGCCTTAAGAAAACACTTATGCAAACGTAAACTTGAGTTAAAAAAAAAAAAAAAACAAAAAAAACCCAAAAGCCATTTTGTTTACTAGATCAGTGGTCCTCAACCCTTTTGGAACCAGGGACCGGTTTCATGGAAGCAGATCCGGGGAGGAGGGATGATGGTTTGGAATCAAACTTCCACCTCAGATCATCAGGCATTAGATTCTCATAAGGAACCTTCATGCAACGTAGATCCCTCACGTGCGCAGTTCACAATAGGGTTCACATTCCTATGAGAATCTAATGCCACTGCTGATCTGACAGGAGGTGCAGCTCAGGCAGCAATAATGCTCACTCACCCGCCACTCACCTCCTGTTGTACAGCCCAGTTCCGAGGGGTTGGGGACCCCTGCACTAGATCACAAGGTAAATATTTTTTATTATATTAGTTTTTAAAAACATGGCCTAGTGCAGTGACTCACACCTGTAATTCCAGCACTTTGGGAGGCCAAGGCAGGCAGATCACCTGAGGTCAGGAGTTCAAGACCAGCCTGACTAACACGGTGAAACCCCATCTCTACTAAAAATACAAAAATTAGCCAGGCATAGTGGTGGGCACCTGTAATCCCAGCGACTCAGGGGGCTGAGGCAGAAGAATCACTTGAACCCAGGAGGCAGAGGCTGCAGTGAGCTGAGATCGTGCCACTGCACTCCAGCCTGGGTGACAGAGTGAGACTCCATCTCAAAAAAAAAAAAAGGAGTAAGATGAAGTTAGAAGTTACCTCCAGTACAGAAAAAAAAAAAAAAGTCAAAATCTATAGTCCTTGGAATCAGTATTACAACAACGTTGGGTTTTCTGTAGTTTGAATATATGCTATTGCACATATCCAACAAAAGTCTTGAATCTTAAAACATACCTTGTTTTCTGAATCATGTGTTGTGGTATGGGTCCTAATATTCGTTCCATCATTGCCAGGTGCTCTTTACTATCATGAGTCTAAAACATGTAAGAAAAAGAAATTTAGTACTCTCCATTTCCCTACAAACACATTAACTTGTTTAATCTAAAATTTTAGTTTCCTTCTTTATTTGCACTTCTTACACTGTTTAAAGAATAACTGGGCAAGGTTACCAGAAAAACTGTCTCCTCATTTAATCAGCTGCTTAACCAAAATTAACATCCAGTACCCAATGAATAGTTCACTTGTTAACACTTACTACTCCCAGGCAACAGACATACATACAGTCCCAATAATTCTCTAAACAATTCTGAGCTAGGTATGTGGGAACATGAATTTCAAAAAGGTTAAGATACTACCTCAAAGTCATATAGCTCATATATGAGGAAAGTTAAGCTATCAACCCATGTCAAAGCACATATCCTTAAATTAGTAACGGAGGCTTGGCTGAAGTAGAATACAGAAAACGGTCAAACTTACAGCTGGAATGGTATGCTTCTAGAGCAGAGGTTGGCAAACTTCTGTAAAGGGCCAGATAGTAAATATTTTAGGCTTGGCTCGTCATGAGTGGTCCCTATTGCATACTCTTCTTCTTTTTGTAAAAACAGGCACCAGGCAGGATTTCACCATGGGCCAAAGTTTGCTAACCCTTGTTCTGGAGAGCAGAGGCTGTATGCAACACTTTTAAAAGAAATCTATCAACTACTGTGCCTTGCATATTGCTTCCAAATCGTTGTGATACATGACAGGAATAAGTAATACTAGCTTCACATTTTAAAGAAATTCCTTAGTTTAAGAGTATTTTGCAGGGTGGAGTTAAAATATAAACCACCTCTCAAATAATATATACTTCATTTAAAACTCAAAGTGATTTATAATCACAAAATCACCGGAAGCATCCATTTCATATTAGTCAGATTGATGAAAGCATTCACTTTGCTTAACTTTTTCTTGACCCTACAGCTCACCACTGCAAAACCAGACAATACCTCCCAGAACTGATTAATAACCATGATTCTAAGACATCAAACTTATCTATAAACTCAGAGTACTTTTCAACAGGATCTCTACAGATTAGACAGAAACAGAAATCTGGCGAGGTGCCCCACGAACAGGGAATTCATCATTGTGCAACAGCTGCCTAAGTGACTCTTAGCCCATCATAGCTGCATGCCCCCTGCACTGCTCTAACTTCAAATCAACCTCAACAGTACTAGCTGGGATCTCCAGCCCCTCTTCCCCAAACAAAACAACACAACACCTCGATCATACCATGACCCTATTTAAAGTTCTTCAATGGTTGCATCACCTAAAGCTTTCAAGAATTTAAATTTCAGGCTGGGTGCGGTGGCTCACACCTGTAATCCCAGCACTTTGGGAGGCCAAGGAGGGTAGATCACTTGAGGTCAGGAGTTCGAGACCAGCCTGGTCAACACAGCAAAACCCTCTACTAAAAATACAAAAAATTAGTGGGGTGTAGTGGCTCGTGCCTGTAATCCCAGCTACTTGGGAGGCTGAGACATGAGAATCACTTGAACCCGGGAGGCAGAGGTTGCAGTGAGCTGACGTTGCGCCACTGCACTCCAGCCTGGGTGACACAGTGAGACTCCATCTCAGGGAAAAAAAAAAAAAAATTAAGATTTCAGATGTAAGTACAACTTAAGGACAGAGTGGAAAAGAAAGTAGAGTTTCCTACTTTTTGTTTTACCAATTAAGGACTTTTTATTTTTAAAAGCAAACTACCAACAACTATGACTATCATTACATAAAAGAGACATTAAAAAAAAAAAAAGCAGGAGGGATAATCTCTAAATAAGGGTCAGAATGGCAAACCTAGACAACCATTTTCATTTTGGACCAGTCTACTTTTGGAATCCACTGACTTCTAGGATCAAACCAATACCTTGCGAAGTCTTTTATGAATTGATCCTTGCCTATTGTTATAATTTTCCCATTTATACAAGACACTCTGACAACGCTATTCTTCCCTGAGTAGAATATGTTCCTTTACTCCTCTGTGCATTTACAGATACTATTTCTTCTTCCTTATATGCCCATTGCACTCCAGTTTTCTAACTCCTCCTCCTCTTCCTATGTTCTCAGTGACGCCTTCTCTAAAGTAATTATTAACCTTTCCTGGGTTCTCCCTACCTACACTTTGTCTTTTTTTTTTTTTTTTTTTTTTGCAACAGAGTCTCACCCTGTTGTCCAGGCTGGAGTGCAGTGGCATGATCTCGCTCACTGCAAGCTCCGCCTCCCAGGTTCACGCCATTCTCCTGCCTCAGCCTCCCGAGTAGCTGGGACTACAGGCGCCCGCCACCACGCCCAGCTAATTTTTTATACTTTTAGTAGAGACAGGGTTTCACCATGTTAGCCAGGATGGTCTCGATCTCCTGACCTCATGATCCACCCACCTCAGCCTCCCAAAGTGCTGGGATTACAGGTGTGAGCTACCCCGCCTGGCCCTCCCTACCTACACTTTCTACGTTGTTCCATCACAGCAAATGCTACACTATACTGCGATAACTTTCCAATGTCTTTTGCATGACTTGAGAAAGATGTTGTCTCTTCACCTTTATGTACTTATACTTAGAAATGCCTAAGACATTATAGATGCTTAATACTTAAGAGTAAAATACAATCCCTTGTTGTTTCTGAATTCTTTTATAAAAAGGAATAAGTGACTCGTTCATGGCCATATTGATAGTCAACATAACTATAACTGAAAACTGGCCACATTAACACTACTGCAAATTTATGAAGAAGCTCTACAATTTAAAAAAGGAGACAGTATGAACCATATATGAACCATGTGTTACAAACACTAATCACATGCAAAATTAACTATGATCACTCACTCATAGTAATATTTCATTCAACTGTGGTTTTAAAGAATGACCATTTTGCCTAAGTTTTAATCTCAAGAATAATGATGTATGGCAATTTTCCAATATGGAAGTCAAAACTTTAGCATACCTTTAACGTTTACAATTTGTTATGAATTATTAAATGGAATTTACTAGCCACGTACCTGAAAGACTGTGAAACCAAGGTAATATTCAATAAGAATGCAACCTATGCTCCAAACATCACAAGGCTGAGACCAACCTAAAGCTATTTTAAAACAAATAGAAACATTTTACTATGCAAAAACTTTTAATTGACAGTACATTAAATCCTTCCCTATATGAGTGCTCCCTTTACAGAACCCATTTGGGAGAATAAGACACCAAATTCAGGGTTTATAGTTCTAGTTTTACAGCAAATGCTATTCAACACACTCCATAGTCCATATGCTCACATCAAGACACAGTATTCTAACTAGGGAGGGGTGCATGTTATGTAAAATAAAAGGGGGCTACCATTTTCCAAGTATACAACCAATTCGTGCAAATATTCCATAGTCTCTGAACTGTTTATATAATGGGAGAGCACTGCTGTTAAAACCATTATTATGCTCAGTTCATGGTTAGTCCAAGAATTTTTATATTTTATTAGCACAAATACAGGTTTATAATTATCCTCAGAATGAAATTACTAATGCCTTATCAATTATCATCAGCTTGATGCATGAGTTTACTTCTTCCGTTAAGAGAAATATTACCGTTTTGCACAAATTGTATAAAAGGTATAATGGGAATTTTAAGCAGTTTCACCTATAAGCAGAAATTACAGACACATTGGAGCTCAGAGAGGGATCTATACATAAACATCGGCGCTGTCTATACATGATTTTATATACTTTCTCCTTCAGAATTCTCAATGACAGTATTATTCAGATCAGAATAAAACATCTAGCCTTCTTAAATCTATACTGACTGGGAAGGAGAAAGAACCAACCACATAGATATTTTAATATTTCAAAGATCAAATATTTAGTTAAAAAATGTATAAATAAAATCTACATTCAAAGACATTTCAATTACTTTCATTATCACTGAAGTTAAAGATAAAAGAAGAAATATATTCAAGTCAATATATAATGACTTAAGTCATTTTTGTTAACCATCCGCTCCAGTGTCTGTCATTTGAACAAATGGATAATAATAGAGCATGGGCCAGGCGCGGTGGCTCATGCCTGTAATCCCAGCACTTTGGGAGGCCGAGGCGGGTGGATCACCAGGTTGGCAGTTCGAGACCAGTCTGACCAACATGGTGAAACCCCGTCTCTACTAAAAATACAAAAAAATTAGCTGGGCGTGGTGGCAGACGCCTGTAATCCCAGTGACTTGGGAGGCTGAGGCAGGAGAATGGCTTGAAACCGGAAGGCAGAGGTTGCAGTAAGCTGAGATTGCGCCACTGCACTCTAGCCTGGGCAATAAAAGCAAAACTCCATCTCAAAAAAATAAATAAACAAATAACAAAAATAAAAAATAATAAAAATTTTAAAATATATATATATATATATATATAAATTAGTTGGGTGTGGTGGTGTGCACTTGTAATCCCAGCTACTCAGGAGGCTGAGGCAGGAGAATCGCTTGAACCCGGGAGGCAGAGGTTGCAGTGAGCTGAGATTGCACCACTGCACTCCAGGCCAGGCAACAGAGTGAGACTCTGTCTCAAAAAATAAATAAATAAATAATGGAGCATGGTTTCTACCTATTAACACATACAAAATCCGTAAATGCTAGAGCTTGGACCTCATAAAAGTTTTATTTTTCAACCAGGCACGGTGGCTCACACCTGTAATCCCAGCACTTTGGGAGGCCAAGGCAGGTGAATCACAAGGTCAGGAGTTGGAGACCAGCCTGGCCAATGTGGTGAAACCCCATCTCTACTAAAAATACAAAAAATTAGCTGGGCGTGGTGGCGGGCACCTGTAAGCCCAGCTACTTGGGAGGCTGACACAGGAGAATCGCTTGAACCCGGGAGGCAGAAGTTGCAGTGAGCCGAGATCGTGCCACTGCAGTCCAGCCCGGGTGACAGTGCAAGACTGCGTCTCAAAAAAAAAAAAAAGTTTTATTTTTCAACCACTCCTATCTCCCAATTTAGTCTTTTCCCAGGTGACTGTAATCTTCTGCAGTACACCATTCTAAATCATCTCATTCTTGGATGAGTTAGCTTTTATACCCAACATAAGGCCAACTGCCTACTTCAACTCTAGCACCTGACTACATTTTCCCCTCCAATTGCATTATGCCTTCATCCTCACTCCACAAACAAAGGACCTTTCTATTCTCCCAATCTCCTGATTCTTTCTCCTCAAGGCCAGGGACTCCAATTTCAGATTTGTACTATCCCTTGCTTGGCCACATTTGGAACTTTATTAATAAGATTGACCATATTCTGGTGGGTGCGGTGGCTCACACCTATAATCCCAGCACTTTGGGAGGCCAAGGCAGGCGGATCACTTGAGCCCAGGAGTTCGAGACCAGCCTGTGCAACATGGTGAGGCCCTGTCTCTGTTATAAAAAACATAAAAATTAAAAAAAAAAAATCCTTGGCCGGGCGCGGTGGCTCACGCCTGTAATCCAAGCACTTTGGGAGGCCGAGGCAGGAGGATCACCTGAGGTCAGGAGTTCGAGACCAGCCTGGCTAACATGGTGAAACCCCATCTCTACTAAAAACTATAAAAATTAGCCGGGTGTGGTGGTGGGCACCTGTAATCCCAGCTACTCAGGAGGCTGAGTTAGGAGAATCGCGCGAACCTGGGAGGTGGAGGTTGCAGTGAGCCGAGATGGTACCACTGCACTCCAGCCTGGGTGACAAAGTGAAACTCCATCTCAAAGAAAAAAAAAAGGGGGGGGTTACTATATACTATATTTTACTCAATCTAGGATAGCACACTGTACGATGCACCACTGTTTGATATACCAATAACAAAGAAAAAATGCCAAATATTTGGGGAAAAATCTGATTCTTAAAATGAGGAATCTATTGCCTTCTAATCTCTGAAAATACCTCTCTGTCCACTATCTCTTCCCATATTGCTTTCTTTTACCCTTACACAGTAGCTCCTTTCAATTTGTACTACGCAGAAACCCTATTATTACGCATTTAAAAGACAAGCTCTAGAGTTGTGCTTGTTCAATATGGTAACCACTAGCCACATGTGGCTGTTTAAATCTGAAATAAAATTAATGTAAACTCAAAACTCAGTTCTCCTCAGTCACACTGGCCCCACTACAAGGTAGTCAGTCACGCACAGTGACTAGTGGCTACCATATGGGACAGTGCAGAAATGGAACATTTCCGTCATCAAGGGAAGTTCTGTGGGCAAGAGCTGCACAGGATTCTTGATTTCCTCACTCCTTTACTACTCTACTCTAGGTAAGTATCAAGAGTTTGCTTTTACACTCCTATTCTGAACTACCAAGTCCCGTTGGACACACAAAAAAAGTAAAAAGTATTAAAATACGATTCCACAAAAATGCTTTACAATCTAACCTCAGTTGGACCTAACTTTAGGCTAAGTAATCAGCTTATTACATTCAACTCTCTTGATATGCCTGATCTGAATGTTTCCCAATGTCTCCAAGCTCCCAAGCCAATCTCTGACTTCCCTGATTTATTAACACACCTGATCTATAACTTTTAATGTTGAGGCATAACACTCCCTTAATAAGTCCCTTCTTATTTGAAAACTCTGCACCTTAACTCATTTTCTTTCCCAGACTTTCTCACATCAAGGGTTATCACAGGAGCTCTTAGAGAAGCCTCTTTCTTCTCTTGACCTTTATCCATCCTATATTCTAGACATCTGCCAACCAGTTTCCTCAGTATTTTTACCAGCCATGTGCTTTTGTGATGGCATGAAAATAGGTACTCATATAACTTCAAAATCACATTTCTTTGATGCATTTAGCTAACACAGCCTGTTCTCTTATGATCATTTAAGATTTACTTGTTCAAAAATAACCACCACCTGGAATATCTTTCCCAGACAGTATCACATGTTTACCACTCAGGAAAAGTATTTATAGCAATGTCCACACATTTTTTATGAAAATAGAAAACGTTTTCTGAATCCTGCTGAGAAGATCATACTTCCCCACCCCACCAGTAAAGCTGTAAAGAACAAAAATCTCTTCTTCAATTATAATATTAGAAAGCCTGGTGTCTACTGACCCAAAATGACCTCGGGAGCTCTGTAGTGCCGGGTAGACACCAAAGTACTGTGATGTTCATCATCATACGTTGCACTTCCAAAGTCAACAACTTTGATATCTGTGTTTTTCAGTGTGCGTTCATCACGTTTCTAGAGAGACACAGTTGAGTAAACATGAAACTCAATAGATACATTTTATAGCGCTACTCAAAAGGCCAGCACATGAATTATCTTCTTGATTGTCAAAGTAAGCTCATGAGAAAGGCAAAGAAGGATTACTTCTTTTTGGTTAAACAACAGGATATAATAAGGCTCAGAAGTGAAATTCCTCATCCAAAGATCATCAAGTTAAATTAATTTTAAAGACAACCACCCAAATTAAAACAAGTCTTTAACTTACCATTTTAGAATTATATTTGACTACATAGTCAGACTTCACAAACAAAATATTTTCAGGCTTCAGATCTGTATGGGTTAATTTATTATGATGTAAAACTACAAGAGAACAAAAGCACATTATTAGTTTCACTTACAAACTTAATTTGTACTAGGAGGGAAAGGAGGACTGGCAAAGGATATAGTGGTCAAGAGACGATTCATCTTTACTTGTAAAATGTCTGTTTTTTTAGTGACAACATTTGGATATATAGCTTGTATAATAAAAACAAGTTTTCTGGTGCTTAAAGATTTATCTTAATTGTTAAGGAGGTACAAACATAAAAAATATTTAAAAATAAAGATTTATTGCTGTGCACAGTGGCTCACGCCTATAACCCCAGCACTTTGGGAGGCCGAGGGGGGCAATCACAAGGTCAGGAGATCGAGACCATCCTGGCTAACACTGTGAAATCCCATCTCTACTAAAAATACAAAAAATTAGCTGGGCATGGTGGTGGGCGCCTGTAGTCCCAGCTACTCGGGAGGCTGAGGCAGGAAAATGGCGTGAACCCGGGAGGCTGAGCTTGCTGGGACCCGAGAGCGCCACTGCACTCCAGCCTGGGTGACAGAGCGAGACTCCGTCTCAAAATAAATAAATAAATAAATAAATAAAAATAAAGATTTATCAAGTGTACTTACAATTTATTGACTGGCAGATCTGATACGCCATCTGCCTGATGTGGTCAATTTGAAATGGCAGAAAGCTGTTTTCTTTAATGAAATCGTAAGTACTAAGTCCCAGTAGTTCAAACACAATACAAACATGACCATGATGATCAAACCATTCTAGCATCTGGACACATCGGCTAAAACAGAGCAAAATAATAATTCAGTTTATGGAAACCTGAATATTTCATGTAATATGATGGCTCCTAGGTGAAAGTTATACTTACAAGACACTATTGGGATCAGTACTATTTAAGTGCTCTAATACTTGGATTTCTGAACGAGCTGCTTCACGGTAACGGCCTACATTTTTTACGATTTTCACTGCTACATGCATGCCATCCCTTAAAAATAAAATTAAGATAAAAATGATAAATGTACAAGAGTGAGCTGAAGCCATGTTATGCTCTAAAGCATAGTCTTAATTACCAATTCCTCTATGCCATTTAAAATAATCTTTCAGAACATATTATAGCAGATTCCATATAACATCTTCTTAAAACATTTTGATAAAATACTTTATATGAAGTGATAATTCCCTTAATACTTATGAGTTTTAACGTTTGCTCCTAGAATTTTAAATTTAATTACATTTTATACAACAACAGTTTTAAAAGATATATACAAATGTAAACCAAAAATAGGATATGCTACTGTTGAAAGCATTCATTCATTTACCAGGCTAGGCCTACTCTGTGCCAGGCAATGCACAGATATTAGTGATTAAAAGACGGGGTGTGTCCCTACGTACTTCAAAGTCTAATGGAAAAGACAGACACAGAAACAACTTAGACTTCTTCACAGAAGAGGTGACACAGAACTGAGTCCTGAAAGATAGCTGGGAGTTTGTCAGATTGGGAAGGAAACATCCAGGTAAAGGAGACCCCAACTCTAAGTAATGAAGCCCAGAAAAACCTTAGCAGATGCACTGATGCCAGTATACAGAAACAGCTACAGGGGAGGGCAGTGGGCTTTAGACTGCGGCATCTGTAAGAATGCTTCCTAAAAAGTATAGAGCCATAAATGTTGCAAATCTTCAATTTATTTTTGTCTTCCTTTTTAAACCTAATCTACCTACAGATGAGCCAGCATTCAAGCCTTCTTTTTCACTATGACCCTTCCACTTTACAAAACCATACCCATCTCTTACTAGTGTAACAGGATGTATGCCCTAGGCTATAAAAACATTTGGGGCAAACAAACACGTATTCTAATGGCTGGATACAAAACCTTTTTCCACATCCAGTGGTTTCCAGTTCATTGCTTTCAACAAGGCCCCAACGAATGTGAACTGATAAGTCACTAAAAAAATTTTTTAATGCTTGGCATATACCTCAAGACTTAAAAGAACTCTAATAAGATTACTGTGACAAAGCTTCTACTCCTATCTATTTAATTATATGACCAAAAAGTTTTCTCAGTGCTTGTATCCACGAAAATGAAAAAAGAAAACATACAATGCTAGACAGTCAGATATTTATCTATGGCTATATGTACTCATTTTTTTAGAGGCCTCAACTGCCCCAATAAAGGAAACATTCCAGGCCAGATGTGGTACAGGTGTGTGCCACACGTGACTACAGGCTCACACCTGTAATCCCAGCACTATGGGAGGCTGAGGCAGAAGGATCACTTGAGGCCAGGAGTTCCACACCAGCCAGAGCAACACAGTGAGACTCCATCTCATTAAAAAAAAATTTTTTTTAAGATACATTTCATTAAATACACCAAGACTTAGACTTTCAAGAAATTCTAAAAGGACATTAATGGGATGACTGGTGAAATCTGAATAAAGTCTGCAGATTAGTTGGCAAAATTTGAAAACAAATGTATGTATAATGATAAAGCAAATCTTATAAAATGTAAACATTTGGAAAATAGGTTAACATTTGGAATATATGGGAATTCTTTGAACTATTTTATCAATTTTTCTGTAAGTCTGAAAATATTTCAAAATACTTTAAAGTTCAATTTACATTCACATATTTGTTGCAGAAAAGCAAAATGTGGGGATAATTTAGGATAGTATTTATGGAAAGTGAAATGACAATAAATTCAATAATAAAACATTTCTAAGTATTCAAGAAGAGTTTGTTTATGGATGATGGTAGGTATCAAGCTGCTATGGTATTTAGATTCCCTGAAATGCATTTAGAGAGAGGTAAGTTTTATTTTTTAATATTAATATTTACAACAGGTTGGAAATTACATCCTTCCCAAATAATTTATGATAAAAAATTTTGTCATTTTAGAAATGTGAAGTTTCGCAAAAGTTCTAAGAGCTTCTCTTACAAAAGTTTTCAAGCCACAAAATAGAGGTCCTAGAGGAAAACGGTAAAATGAGGCAGAAAGGGTCAAATCACAAACTTTATTCTCTAGGCCCTAGATAATAAAATGTCTTTATAGTTTAGGAAGCTAACTCTTAACATTTAAGATTAGACATGCTTTATTGCCTCTGTAATCCGAAATTGCCAAATCTTATATACAGGGTCAAGGGCCTCAGTTCTGGAGTTCTGGGAAATTCCTTCACTTGAACATCCACTTTAATTTCAATGATTTCCCCCTGTTGAAATTTGTCATCATTCTTTTTTTTTATTTTTATTTTTTTTGAGACGGATTTTCACTCGTTGCCTAGGCTGGAGTGCAATGGCACAATCTTGGCTCACCGCAACCTCCGCCTTCCTCCCCTCCTGGGTTCAAGTGATTCTCCTGCCTCAGCCTCCCAAGCAACTGGGATTACAGGCATGTGCCACCACACCTGGCTAATTTTGTATTTTTAGTAGAGAATGTATTTCTCCATGTTGGTCAGGCTAGTCTTGAACTCCCAACCTCAGGTGATCCACCTGCCTTGGCCTCCCAAAGTGCTGCGATTACAGGAGTGAGCCACTGTGCCCGGCAGTCAGCATTCTTAAGATCCACATTCACGGTAAATAAATCATACAAAGTTCAAGAAACTTTGGTGAGTAATTTACCCCCCAAAACACGTGGCTACCATTTAAAATATATTCCATCTTGGCCGGGCACAGGGGCTCAGGCTTGTAATCCCAACGTTTTGGGAAACTGAGGCGGGTAGATCACTTGAGGTCAGGAGTTCGAGACCACCCAGGCCAACACGGTGAAACCCCATCTCTATTAAAAATACAAAAACTAGCTAGGTGTGGTGGCAGGCTCCTGTAATCCCAGCTACTTGAGAGGCTGAAGCAGGAGAATCACTTGAAGCCGGGAGGCGGCAGTTGCAGTGAGCCAAGATAGCACCACTGCACTCAAGCCTGGGCAACAGAGGCCCTATCTCAAATAAATAAATAAATAAAATTTCATCTGAATTATGAATCTTTCCCCACCAAAAACATCAGAATGTTTGAAAAGGAAAAAACAAACTTACATGCCATGATCAATGCACTCTACAACTTTGCCAAAGGCTCCTTCACCCAAAGTGTCCACGATTTCATCTAGAGTGAGGAGGGAAAAAGAGGTGTAAGTACCTGAGTACAAACTGTCTAGTTCTTCAAACAATGAATGCTTAAGTGTGGAATATTTTCAAATGATCTCTAACAAAGCATAACTAAGGTTTCAGCACTCAAATTATTTTAGTTTCAGCTGCTACAAAAACAATTAGATAGAGCTATCTTTCTTGCTCTAATCTCAAATTCCACTGATTATTTTGGAACTTTAGAATAGAAATATTTAAATTCTACAGAAAAGAAGAAATATAAAAGAACAAACAAACCCACAAAAAGCAAAATAAAAAAGCAATGAAGAGTTCTTTAGCCCCCCGCTGACAAACTATTCTTAAAAAGATTATTCTTTCTGCAAAGTTTAAAAAGTGTTGAAAAATATTCTATACATCTTGCTCTTAGAACGTCTCCACTTTGACAGATCAGGTGACCCTCCTCATCATCCTCTATACTCCTGGATCTTTTCCTTCGGTGGCTCTTCTGGAACGGCAAGTGGGCAGCACCAAGATCGTCCAGCCAATCAATATATCAGAGTGAATTCAGGGCAGAATACGCAATTCATTCAGCGGGGAGATATTCAGGCATTCAGATAAGCACCAGGCCACGAACAGTTGGCAGGAGCAATTTCAAATTCAGTCCCCAGAAATTCACAGGGCACAGTTTATGTTACAGAAGAAAAACATGGCAAGGAACAGATTTTCAGATAAGATACTTAAAGTGGCAATAGAAAAAAACAACACAATTGTCTCTTTAAAATACTGATTTAATTGAAGTCTGAAATTTAAAGAATGCAATGTCATGATTTACTTATCTCTTGCTATAAACAGCATATGCTGTGAATTGAGATGTCTAGTTTTTCAGAAAAATGTTTTAAAATGTCAAGACTATTTGAAATTATTCTAATTTAGCAATATTTTAAAATATACATGATTAAAATAAAAGGGGAAAATAAAGGCTAGTTAATTTCAATGTTCAATCTAATAAAAACTAGTTTTACTGAAGAAAACTTGGGGAGAAACTAATTCAAAGTTCACTGTTCAAGCAGGTGAAGATGTCTGAGTGTTAAAAAAAAAAAGGGGGGGGCAGACTTTTTGGATGTTTCCCATTCAGCACCCATTTTCACAACTTCAAAAGAATTCATTGCAGACAATGATGCACTGGACTATGGAACTATGCTCTATGCAGGTTAGTAACATTCAGGTGTCCACCAGTGCAATATTTCACATTTATTTTCAAGTACCAGATAAAGGGTTTCTAAGAAAAAAAAAATGCTTAAGATGAAAGAAAAGATATGGGTGCATGATTTTTTCATAAGAATATGTTACAAATAAAAAAATAGTTTTATTATTAAAATCAATAAACTCATTATCTGGTCTGCAGAATATGAGGAAATGTGGGCAAATGAGGGCTAGCTAATAAATATACAGATCAGCTACAAGAATTTGGAGGTTTCCTTTAAGGATTTAAGTAATATAAATACAATTATAATATATCCAAATAGTATTTTATATATATATATATAAAAAATTAGAAACTTATCAGCTCGTTAAGAGTACACACAAATAAAACTCCACTCAAATTGAAAACAAAACCAATCATACCGAACGTGACTGATGACTTGAACAGTGTCTATTGCGCTTCCTTTTAGGACTGCTTCTCCTGCTGCGGACTGAAGATTTACTGCAGTGGATTCGATACCCGCTTTCAATGTCTCTGTGATAATGTCTAGGAACATATCCTTCACAGTAGTCATTCCTGTATTCGTCAACGTATCTCCGGTCCCGATAATCTCGCTCATTCAAGGACCTTGCTTCTAAATAATGACTGCAAACACATTAAAAGATTTCAAATTATTCTCTTCATTCTGCAATAATGTGGTTCAAACAAAACATTTTCTCAGAAATTCTTAAACAGCTAACTCAATATAAGAAAAAAATTCAAACAGATGAATTAGCATTTATATTTATCTCATAAAGCTTAAGAAATAATTTTACTTTAACAAACAAGCAAATGGGCCCATTATAGAGTTTGCTGTCAAGCACTTCACACCAAGGAATAAAGCTTGAGTCAAATCATTAATTCATGTCTAGTGTTTACTTGATTAAGTGTTCCTTTACCTTCTGCACCTGTATCTAAGCTGTCTTAGTCTCTCACAGAGGTACAATCAGAGGCAGGCAAAAAGGATTCCTTTCTCTTGTAATGTAAGAGCATTTTAGATATCCCTGGCACAGAGAGAATTCCTTCATGAAAGGTATATTAGAGCTATAAGGAGCCTTAAATGTATTCCAGCCCTTTCATTTTACCGACGACTACATTAAGATCCCTAGAAGAAAAATGATTTACCAAGGTTGTATAACAACATTAGTGACAAAAACTAAAATATTTTCAAACCACTATTATACAGGCCAATTTTATTACACACAGCATCTATCATGTCTCCTCTACTCTTTGCATTTCTAGCCTTGTTATTCCTGTTTGAGAAATAGAAAACATAGCTTTTGAGGACTGCCTCATGTGCCAAAGGCATCTAAAATATATCCCCCTAAAATAAGAAAGGGATCCTGTAGTTTAGCATTACAATAGTTCCACCACCCTACTTCCCTTTGCATTTCTAATTTCCTGTCATTCCTGTTTGAGAAATACCTAAGAAACAACAGAAAACACCATCATCTAGTGCCATCGTGCTTTAATCTAGAGATCCCTTTGAAAATCTGCTGAAAGCCATGGACTCTCTTTCCTAAGAAACACATAAACAAAACTTGGCAAGGAATTTCAAAGGTCATGGGCCTCAGGATGTCAATGGATCCCAGTTAAGTGGCCTTGATCTGATGGAAAGA